>NC_000003.12:87282727-87585757 GCF_000001405.40 Homo sapiens | reverse complement strand
TCTTCAAGGAGTTTATCTATCAGTGGATGTGAGGACTTTGGGCATAGGAAAACAAACAACAAACATGTAAATGAATATAGAGCAAAGTAAAATTATGTATGTTTGGACAAACATACAATTGTAAAGAAGCAGAAGAGGACTAGGGTGGTGAGTATGTCTTTAGACATGATATTTGAGTTGAGGATGACAAGGAGAAGGAACAATGAGTGCAAAATGAAAAGGCTAATGAGCTTGTTATCGTCAAGAATTAGCAAGAAGGCCAGTTACCTGGAACAGAGTAATGTGAACTGTGGTATGTGCTGACAGGCAGGCATATTACAGAAATTTATATTAGAGGATTTTGGAGACCACATAGTTAAGAAATTTGGAACTTGTTGATTTTGCAATGGGAAATCATTGGCAAGTTTTGAGGAGGAAGTGACATGACCTGGTTTTCATTTTAGAAAGATTTTTCTGGCTACTCTGTGGGGGATGGATTTAGAGGAGCAAGAGCTAAAGCAAGCACAGCAATCAGGAGGTTATTGAAATAGTTGTCATGGAGCATGAGGCTGACTTGAACTAGGATTTGCATTGAGGGTACTGAAAAGTTGTTAGATTTGGAATATATTTTTTCAGTTAATATGGGTGAGTTGGATGTGAGGTGTGAGAAAAAGAAAGAAATGATAAAGACCTTAGAGTTCTGTCTGTCTGCTCAGGCAAGCCAACAGAGAGGCTCATTTTTTGTTGTTTTTGTTTTGTTTTTTGACTGAATAGAATTAACTACAGGCTATAAAATAAGGATATGATAATGAGACAGAGAAAAACAAACAACGAGAACAAAACTCCAAAACAAAACAAAAACAAATCAACCACATATTATGAAGTCAATATTTTAATGCAAAAGTTCTGCATTTTAAGAAACCATCTAAAAATGCTTGGTTTGACACTTTCTCTCTTACTATTTTGAGTGGCTTCCTCAAGAAAAATGCATCTTCATTTATTGGCATTCTAGATAGCATTCCTGTCTCCTCTTGAAAAATGAAGAGGATAAAGGATATTTTTGACTGATCCACTCTGCTCAGGAAATGCTTGCCTTAGTTATTCATGTAACATGTGTTAAAAATTGTTTAAATCATAGTGAAAAATTAGAAATGTACAGTAGAAGTAGATCTAAGCCATCTTTATAGCACTGAATTTCAGAACATTATTATGAAAATCTGTCACCGTACTATTTGGTGTTTATTTATGAGCTTTCTCATAATTAAAAAATAGGCTTTTTATTCACAAAAAAAATTGAAAAAGATGTTAGGAAAAGTCTCCTAAAGTTAAAAACAAACTCAGTAAACAAAAAGGGCAAAAACTACAAAGTGCCGTATTTCCTTTGGCATCCAGTGAAAATATATTATTACTGATATGGTAGGCAGAATGCTACCATATCCAGAATGCTACCATTGTCTGGGTGGGGCCAATCTAATCACATGAGCCTCTAAAAGCAGAGAACTTTTCTGCCTGGAGTCAGAGAGATGTGGTTAAAGATGAATTGAGAGAGACCTGAACTATCAGAGCAACTCAATTCAGATTGCTGGAGAGGTGGCCACGTGGAAAACATGAGAAGAAATGAAGGAAAACCCAGAAGAAAGATGATTCTCCTGCTGCAGTCTGAGTGTGTCCCTCAGAATTCACGTGCTGGAAATTTAATCTCCAATGCAACAGTGTTGGGAGGGAGGACTCTGCCCTCACGAATGGATTAATGCCACTGTAAAATGGGCTTGTGGGAGTGAGTTCACTCTCTTTTGTTCTTTTGCCATGTGAGGTCCCAGCAAGAAGGCCCTCACAAAATGCTAGCTTCATGATCTTGGACTTACCAGTCTCTAGAGCTGTGAGGAAGTAAATTTTTGTTCTTTATAAATTATCCAGTCTGAGATATTCTTTTATAGCAGCATAAAGGAACTAAGATCACCCTCTTCTGCACTCCCCATCAGTCAGCAAGTTTTTTTTTTTTTCACAAAAAAACTGAATCCAGGAAAAATATAAATAAACTTGGATGTGGCTGTATTCCCAGAGCATCCAGCAAAGAATGCATCCTTGATTTTGGCTTTGTGAGCCTCTAAACTGAGGACAAAACAGCATTATTTTGTACCTTTATTTCTGATAATAAATAGGTGTTATTTTAAGCTGCTAAATTTGTGGTAATTTGTTATGGTAGCAACATAAAATTAACACAAATAATTGAAAGAGACCATAAACAGTAAGACATAAGACAGAAAAGACAATCCTTTTCTAAATATTTGTTAATATAAAATTACTATTCATAATGTACACTATCAACTGTAAAGTGGATTGCCTTCATTTTGATTTTAAAAGATATTAGTTTGAAATTTAAAAAGATATTAACTTTAGGGAAGAATTATGCTTTACTTTAAGTTGATTCCCTGCGTAATTTTCACTTGAAAAGTGTAATAATTTCTTCTAGCTATATTGTGTCATTCAATAAAGCTGAAAGCTAGTAAAACTAAAAGAATCTTAATAATTAGTAAGAAATCAAGGAAACATTGGAAATTGTTTTACTGATCTTTGAAGATTGTACAATTTTTACCCAAGTAAATAGGAGAAGTTCTTGGACTACTTCAGCGACATCATTTTGTATGACTTTGGGCGGGGCACTTAGCTTCCCTGTGACATATTTTCCTTAGCTGCTAGTGTCAATATTAATAAAACCTACCTCAGAAAGTTGTTATAAGGGTTAAATAAGTAGGTAGTTAGGAGTTAGAGACTCACAGAACAAAGTTTTGTATTGTATTGTTTTATCTGAAGGTATTTCTGCATGAAAGGTGGGATATTAGATATAAGTGTAGAGCTATAGATGCAAATCCCTACAGCCTAACTGCATGAGAGAAACTCACCTTGATTATATGTAGCCATGATTCAAGATAAGTGGACCTGCCTTTCCTGTTCTCTTCAGATCTATCATTAACCCAGTGTATCTTAGAAATTCTTATTGTCTCTATCTCCAATTGTTATATTAAATTATTAACCTTCACAAATAAAGCTGTGGTATTTCAAGATGACCAGCAAAACCTATAAAAAATTGTATTCCATAGTTTGATTATATTATAGAAGAAATGCCCGCATTGAAATAAAATATCCTGCTAGCTGGGGTGCAAATGTTGTAGGACTTTTTCCTTAGTTCAGCTAAAGATGGGGTTCTTGTTACACAACCATGAAAAATTAGGCTGGCGGACAATCTGAAGGGTGAGGAGGGCAAGGTTTATTGGGTGAAAGGAAAAAAAGACTCAGCAAAGCAAGAGAAGTTTCTGTTAACAAGTCCCCATCTCACAGATTGAATCCCCAGGTTACCACACACTGGATGAGGAAAGGCCAGGCTCCTACCCTGCCGCAAATGGTGCAAACTTCCTGAGGCTCCACCCCAGTGTGCACTCCTCCCAGAGCGCAGGGTGGTTGGAGTTTCCTTGGGGACCCCTTTATACTTGGCTGTCTCACAAAGACTGCATGGTATTCTTTTTAATAAGATACTGACAGCAGTTCCTAGCTTGTCATAACTACTTAATAAATGCTCGAGAAATACTTAATGGTAGGCCTCCTTGACTTTAAAATTCATTATTATCAATTGCATTTAACTTATCCCATTCTCACATTGTTAGATTTTTCCAGTCCTTCTCCCTGGCTTTAGGTATCTAAATATAGGTACTCTTTATTGGCTCTTTAACACCTTTCTCTTAATTCTGAGTACCTTCTTATCTAACTGTGTACTAAAATATCCAAACTGTTTACATTGTAGCCTTAAAAATATATTTTTTAAAATATTTCTTTTGTAGCCTTAAAATATTCCCCACTTTGCATTATTTTGCTAAGATGACACAGCTTCTAAGATGGAAGCTTCTTAATCATGAACCAAGGAGTTCATGATCTGCTTGGACCTCTCATTTCTGCTTTAGCATCTAATGTCAGCAAATATGTTAGCCTTATAATAATGTTTCATCTATTAGAGGAGAAAGAATTTGACTAATTCCATCCCTTTATCTAGGAGTGAATTTAAGAGAGGAGAAAATGAGAAGCTAAGTAAAGAAATATGATGTCATCAACATCATTGTCTAGCTGAAGAGATATTTCTGCAGTCAAATGTCTTCCTACATGTGATTCAAAGATGAAGAGCTGGTCAGGAAGTTCTCTATAACACTAAGAATTGTCTGCTCAAAGTACTAAATCACTGCCTTTTGACAAACGAGGAAAGTTGAAACAGTTGACCCCAGTACCCTAGACAATTACCACCCTCATCTCTGTTATTCAGCAATTTTGTTGAAATTGCCAAGGAAGGGAGTGTTAAATTATCAGCTTTAGGCAGCTGCCCTCCCTACTGGCTTCATAGCAAGGTAATATGTATCCTCAGTTATAGCAAATCATATTCTGGGTCTATAAAGTGAGTTAAAATGCTGCACAGAACAACCAGTTTAAATTACAGTTATGGTTCATTAAAATGGGCTCTATTACTCATCTAAATCAATTTGGCTGCACAAACAGATGCCATCTATGATGTATACGTTTTCTTTTCACTCTTTTTTTTAAAAGACTTTTCTTGGGGAATTAAGCAGAGGTATTTTTAATACTTGGTATTGAGTTTCTTAGGCAGTAGAAACTGGGCCACTGATCAACAAAATAATGTCACCAAATTCTTTACATTGAATGCTTCATTGCTTTTGATAACTTTGTCCTTGCAATAACAAATCTGACCTCATTATTTACCTAAAATCCTGGTCTCTTTTCTAAGACCAAGCAAAGGTAAATAATAGCCCCCAGTGAGGCAGAGATGACTAATTGCCTCCTTCTCTGGTATCATAATTCCCTTCTTTCTGAATCGTTAGAACTATCCCACACTCAACCAGAGTTCAAACTGGGCAGGTGGCTGTCCAGCTAGAAATTATGTTTTCCAGCATCCCCTGGAGCCAAGGGTCTTTTTTTGGATTTAGTGAATGTGATGTAAACAAAAATAATTTGGCCACTTCCAGTTCTTGGCCTGAAAATATTGAACATGTAGACTTCTGTCTCTCTTTCTGCTCTCTGAAGGCCAGAATACAGATGTGGCAACCTCTAGGCATCATCTAAGGTCACACTATACTTGGCAGTGTGACGAGATACAGGAACTTAAGTTTCTGAACAACAGAATATAGGCAGAGCCTTCCCAGCACCATGGGCTCTTCGTGAGAAATAAATAAATTTCTATCTTAATTAAGCCACCGTATTTGGGGGAATATTTTTGTTGTAGCAACTTAAAATTTACCTTTACATATACAGCCTGCTGCTCAATTGCTACCTCGAATAGTAATTTCAGTTTAGTTCATAAAAACTGTAGTTTTTGTAGGGACAAAATGTAATTATTAGTTAACACAACATTGGATTGAGACATATGGGAACAGAACTAAGACACAGGAGACCATGGCTCAAGTTCAGCTCTGCAACCTGTGTGAACTTGAGTTAATTCTATATAGCATGATAAATATTTTAGAAAAAATTACTGTGGCAGTCGGAGTTCTGTAAGTAGGAAAGGGGAGGCGGGAAGAATAACACAGACTTGGGGTACGAAGAGGATCCTGTAGGGAATTAGGCAGTGCTGGTCATTGAAATGCAAATTATTACATATATAAAAATAGTCATAAATTGATCACACTCTTGAAAATAGTTTACAGAGCTGTCACACTCTATAAGGTTAAGTCATAAAATATCTAACTTCCATATATATATATATATATATAAAACTTCCATACATATATAAGTTCCATATATATATAACTTCCATGTATATTATATATATATAACTTCCATATATATAATTTATATATATATATATATATAAAACTTCCATATATATAATATATATATATATATTAGGCAGTGTCTTGCTCTGTCACCCAGGCTGGAGTGCAGTGGCATGATCTAGGCTCACTGCAACCTCCACCTCCTGGGTTCAATTGATCCTCCTACCTCAGCCTCCCAAATAGCTGGGACTATAGGTGCACCCCACAACACCCAGCTAAGTTTTGTGTTTTTTTTGTAGAGATGGGGTTTCATCATGTTGCCCAGGCTTGTCTCGAAATCTGGGCTCAAGTGATCCACCTACCTCAGCCTCCCAAAGTGCTGAGACTACAGGCGTGAGCCACCATGCCCAGCCTCTAACTTCCAAATGTTAGACATTCAGATGCAGTTTATATTGATGTTGCTATGTGACCTTAATTAAATAGCCTCAGTTTCATCAGCTATACATATAAGGGGTTTCTATTAAATGAATTCCATTTTCATTTCTAAACTATATGATTCATAATATTGGATTGGTTCTCTTCCTCCTTGAGATCCCATAATAGTATGTAATTCCCAAGTTTAATGAAGTGATTTTTCCCAACATTTCTGTAGATCTATATATTTGAAATTTGCTATGCAGGACTGGATAAATGTGCTCCATGTAGTAAAAAAAATTCATGCGTATTAAAATATTTTAATTAAAATCTCTAAAAAGTCATTTAAATGTATTAACCACGAAGTGCATGGGAATAAGGAAAGGAGACACAGTATTTTATTTAGATGTTTTCTCTTTTGTTTCTTCATCTTCCCCCAATCTACCTAGGCTTTAATCAAGAAGGGAAATTTGTCCCAACAACTAATTTTTTCAATTCAATGTGTCTAGACATGTCAAGAAATCCCAGAGAAAAATTGATTATTTGAGGAAGGCAAAATGAGAACATGCTGTTTTAATTTCTTCTAATATTTTCCTCCAGATGCTTAGATTGGCCTGGGAAGATTACAGAATTCTTCCCCAGAGATCACTGCAATGAAATATCTTCCCATAGAGGAAAGAATAATATAAAGTAACTACTCTTGGTACATGGGAAACCAGAAACAATTAGCAAGGTCATGATTTTTCCAAATTAAAAGACAATAATATGGCTTAGAACTGATTCTTCCTTTATGAATCTGAATTATTTTCATTTTCAGGTCTGGGTGTTTGGAGAAAATAGGAAGGGATTCTAATCGTTTACAATTTAGCTCCTTAAAGGTATTGAAACCTATTTAATAGATTGGTAAAGGAAAAGTCAATATTTCCACATTGTCTGTTTTATGTCTGTGTTATAGTAAACAACATTTTTTCACCTTCTCAATACAGCTCTCTGAATATTAGGAGGAGAAAAACATTGCCTTTGAAATGAAGTGATTTTTTAAAATTTATTTTATTTTATTTTTATTTATTTATTTATTATTTATTTTTATTTTTGCAGCTAAGAACCAATTATTTTGGCAACACTCTATGGTTAAGTTACTAACAGAAAGGTTGGTATTAAAGCAATACTCTTCTCAAAAAAAATCACGTGGTCAGTAATAATTTTCAAAGTCTTCAGCTAAAAAAAACATCAAGAGCAGCTGATTTAATGTTATAAAGAAAAGATAAACTTTGATACTTTTAGCATTTAGTATTTTGACACATCATACTTGAATAGTAGGGCAGTAGATGATATTTATATCCAACAGTTTCAAAACACAACTGCTACTTTGTCAGATCGCAGAGTTGCAAAAGTGTTACAATGTCTGTGTATGCCTTCTTAACAGCCTAACCCTATCTGTACCTATAACTGTCCCATGGTTTCCTTATGAAGTGTTTTCAACCTATGCATAAGTGGCTTTCAGTATTCAGGGCCTCATCAAATTCCCAAATGCAGGCTCTTAGAAACTTCTCTTTATTTTAGTTCACAGTATGCTTTCTGATAATTACATCCAAGTCTTTTTATGGCATTTTGATCATGCAGTGTAATTATCTTTCCACTTTTCTTTCAACTTTTCACGAGTAGTATGTTTGGTTACTTCCTGCTGGATTCATTGTTTGATTACTGGTATCTAACTCAATGACGTGTTTACTGATACAATGAAGTATTTTTTAGAACTTAACACTACAAGTTTGATTTGGTAAGCAATGTATGGAGCAGAGTGATTATCTCCTCATTTCTCTAGAGACTAAAATTAAATTCACTTTAATACAGGTTATATATTTATATATGTTCTATTCAACCAAAAACTGACGCATTTTCTTGTTAGTGATTATAAACCAGTCCCTACCCCGTCCTTTACCTAATTTCTTTCTGATAATTATATGGCTGTTTAAGCAACCTAAAAGGAGGATGTGAGTGCACTGTTGTATTTTACTTTGTCACATTGTATCTTCTAATCTTTCTGCATTTATGTAAACTGAAATATAAAACTTCAAAGTTCAAAATGCACTTACATCATGCTGCTAGCTATAGTCATTTTTAAGCTTTAAGTAGAATAAACTAAAGGTCACTTGAAAACAATTCTGGCTTAGATATAAATCAGAAGAAATGGCAAGTGATTTAGAGGCCCTCTTTAAAAAAATTAGCAATAATGCTTCTGGGAACTTCACTAAGTTGTAAAGATCATCTACTGTGTTAATAATAGTCCAAAATACAGTGTGTGGGTGGTTAATGTTAGATCACTCAAATACCCTTTAGAAAGCTTCAAATATAAGAAAAGCTTGAAAGAAATGGATGAAAGGGAAAACTATGTAATTGTTGTTAGACTAATGGGAGATGCTGGTTTGAATCTTTTACTCTTGGAAACTAAATTACTATCATAGAAGCAATTACGATTTGTGCCTTCATCTTTGTGCATGTGTTCCTTCCTGAAATAATTGCATCCATCATACAGCTGGGACTGGGATGGTAACCCAATTTCACACATAGCCTCTCCTCTCTTTCTGCCTTAGGCACACTCAGAAACAGTCAAAAACACCCGAAAGGTGTTTAACTCACAAAACTGAAAGTTCACGCTCTCTAATTAGTTAATGAGACTATGAGTAAGTAAACTTGTTTCTATCTGTATGTGGTTTGAAATGTCTAATAGGTATCTAGTATCTCACAAAAAGTTAGAAAAATTGCAAAATGTTAGAGCTGGGAGGAGCATTATTCTATTTTTACGTCCTATGGTTGTGCATTGGCATAACCTGGGGAATTAACATGCATTGGAATCACCTGGGTAATTAAAACATACCATTGCCCAGGTTCTTCCTTACACCAATTAACTCATACTGTCCAGGGCAGTGGGTGTCATCCTTGAATGCAAGGAGCTTTTAAAAATCGCAATGCCAAGGCCACATGTGAAACAAGTGAAATCAATTAAGTCAGAATCTCTAGAGAATGGGGTCGAGAGAGCATTATTTTTAAATTTGACCGATGATTCTAATGTCCAAGCAAGTTTGAAAACCAAGTGGAGTAGGTCGCAGATGCTTGTCTGTTTAAAAACTCCCTGGGATATTTTAATTGATTTAATGCTTGTGAATCACTGATACCAGTGAAGAATTACGTCCCCAAAGGAGCAGATGGTTCAACTTCAGACAACTAGATAGCCTTAAGCAGGACCACTAATTTAGTCTGATTTCTGGGTCCAGTGTTCTTTTCTCTCCACTGTCTTGTCTCACACAGTTCCTACATTTTACCAGTATTCCAAAATATCTGGTGCCAACATTTCAGATTAGTAGAGTGGAAGACTCAGATTCAAGAGTATTTACCAAGATTCTGGCAAAACAAAAAGAAAAAACAAAAACATACACACTAACAGAAAAAAAAAAAAACAACCCAGACACCTGAGGGTGATCGAAATGCTTGCTGAATGAGCAGAATTAAGGATGCCAATGGAAAGAGGATGCCGCAGGTGTCTTGCTCTTGACATTGCAGTGTGGAATGTCATCTGCTGGTTTAGTCATCTATTTCACATTCTGGTCAATTGGTGTGGGTTATCGCAAGTTACACAATATATGAAAAGATAGATTTACATAGGAAAAAAAACAGGAGACAGTAATTTACTTCCAAAGGTATTATTTTGCAATGAGGCACTGTATTAGTTTTTCAAGGTTGCCATAGCAAAGGACCACTCACTGGGGAGCTTAAACAACAAACATTTGTGTTCTCACAGTCCAGGGAGCTGGAAGTGTGAGGTCGAGGTGGTTGTCACACACGTCCATGTGAAGAGACCACAAAACAGGCTTTGTGTCAGCAATAAAGCTTTTTAATCACCTCGGTGCAGGCAGGCTGAGTACGAAAAGAGAGTCAGCCAAGGGATATAGGGGTGGGGCCGTTTTATAGGATTTGGGTAGGTAATGGAAAATTACAGTCAAAGGGGGTTGTTCTCTGGCAGGCAGGGGCAGGGGTTACAAAGTGCTCAATGGGGGAGCTTCTGAGCCAGGAGAAGGAATTTCACAAGGCAATTTCATCAGTTAAGGCAGGAACCGGACATTTTCACTTCTTTCATTATTTTTCACTTGCTTCAGGCCATCTGGATGTATATGTGCAGGCTTGGGCTCAGAGGCCTGACATTCCTGTCTTCTTATATTAATAGGAAAAATAAAACAAAATAGTGTTGAGGAGTTGGGGCAGCGAAAAGTTTTGGCAACGGTATGGAGAGATAATGGGCGATGTTTCTCAGGGCTGCTTCAAGTGGGATTAGGGGCGGCGTGGGAATCTAGAGTGGGTGAGAGTAAACTGAAGAAAGATTTTGTGGTAAGGGGTGACATTGTGGGGTTGTTAGAAGAAACATTTGTCATATAGAATGATTGGTGATGGCCTGGATATGGTTTTGTATGAATTGAGAAACTAAATGGAAGACACAAGGTCCAAATAAGAGAAGGAGAAAAACAGATATTAAAGGACTAAGAATTGGGAGGACCTAGGACATCCATTAGAGAGTGCCCAAGGGGGTTCAGAGTAATTACTTGCTTGGTTGGTGAGTTTTTTGGGCTCTATCCTTGAGTTTTTCATGTTGTTATGCACAAGGCCAAATTGATTTAGGTAAAAACCAACACTCTTTATTTAAAAATATACAGAGTCTTCTTTTTTTAGCAGTAAGTCGAGGCCTCGGCGATTTTGGAGGAAAGAGAAATGCAAAGCCAGCAATTGTTTGTTAAAGAAGGATTCGAAATAGCTAGGAGAGAGTGAGTGAGATTGATAGTGTGGTGGAGATAGCTGGAGAGAGGTAGCGTATGGCATAAGAATGGGAATGAGAATAAGAGTGAGTATAAAAGTAAAGAACAGGACTTCATCAGGGTGAAAGTAATGGAGTGTACCCTGTCAGCAAAGATCATCTATCCACTTTCAGAGAGACTTCAGGGTGGCGGTTTGAGGTAATACCAGGAGATATCAGTTATGATGGTTTGAAGGAAAAGTGTAAACCAGCAGTGTAAACAAGAGCAGGGCATTTATGAGTAGTTGAGAATGGTGAATAGAAGTATGACTAGACAGAAGATAGCAAGGATGACAAGTTTTGGGGTGCAGTTCAAGTTGGGCTGGTGTCTGAAATAAGACTGGGGCCTAATAAAAAGGAACGTCCATACAGGAGCCCAAATGGGCTGTACCCTGTAGCATCCCAAGGACAGGCCCACATTCTGAGAAGGGTAAATGGTAAAAGTATTGTCCAATCTTTTTTAAGTTGGAGGCTGAGGTTGGTGAGGTGGGTTTTTAAAAGACCATTAGTCCGTTCTACCTTTCCTGAAGATTGAGGACAGTAAGGGGTATGAAGTTTCCACTGAATACCAAGAGCCTGAGAAACTGCTTGGATGATTTGACTAGCAAAGGCCGGTCTGTTATCGGACTGTATAGAGGTGGGAAGGTCAAACTGAGGAATTATGTCTGACAGAAGGGAAGAAATGACTGTGGTGGGCTTCTCAGACCCTGCGGGAAAGGTCTCTACCCATCCAGTGAAAGCATCTACCCAGATTAGGAGGTATTTTAGTTTCCTGACTCGGGGCATGTGAGTAAAGTCAATTTGCCAGTCCTGGGCAGGGGCAAATCCCCGATCTTGATGGGAAGGGAGGGGGCCTGAGAAAATCCCTGAGGGGTAGTAGAATAGCAGATGGAACACTAAGAAGTTATTTTCTTGAGGATAGATTTCCACAATGGAAAGGAAATGAGAGGTTCTAAGAGGTGGGCTAGCGGCTTGTAACCTACATGAAGAGGTTATGAAATGATGTAGAAGTTACTATAGCATAGCCTGCCTTTGCTGGTGAGTGACGATCAGGCCTGGTGGAACTGCCATCAATAAACCAAGTGTGTTCAGGGTGAGGAACAGGAAAGAAGGAAATATGGGGAAATGGAGTGAATGTCAGGTGGATCAGAGAGATATAGTCATGGGGGTCAGATGTGGTATCCGGAATAATGTGGGAGGCCGGATTGAAGTCCAGGCCAGGAATAACATTAATTGTGGGAGACTCAACAAAGAGTGAGTACAGCTGAAGGAGCCAGGGAGCAGAAAGTATATGCAGCAGGTGTGAGGAAGAAAATAGATTTTGGAAGTTATGAGAACTGTGGAGAGTGAGTTGAGCATAGTTTTTTTTAGGGCCTCTAAAAGTATTAGGGTGGTGGCAGCCGCTGCATGGAGACATGATGGCCAGCCCAAAACATTAAGGTCAAGTTGTTTGGATAAAAAGGCTACAGGGCATGGTCCCGGTCCCTGTGTAAGAATTCCAACCACATAGCCCTGCACTTTGGCTGTGTGTAATGAAAAAAGTGTTGGGATGAATTAGGGAGAGCTAGTGTGGGAACAGCTTCTAGGGCTGTTTTTTAAGGAATGGAAAGGGGAGTGGGGAAAGGATTTAGGATTTATGGGGTCAGCTAGGCTTTTTGTGTGTGTGTGAGTTTATATAATGGGTTAGTCAGAATGGTAAAATTAGGTATCTAAAGGTGGAAGTACCTAACCATGCCTAGGAAGGAAAGGAGTTGTTGCTTTGTAGAAGGGGTTGGGGTTTGGGAGATTAGCCAGACACAAACAGCAGGGAAAGCACATATGTTTTTATGAGGAATTATGCCAAGATAGGTAACAGATGAGGAAGAAATTTGGGCTTTGGAGGGGGATACAAGATATCTTTTTGAGAACAGCTGTTGGAGGAGCAGGAGGGTGTCCTGCTGGGAAGATTTGTAGGAGGGGCTATAAAGTAGAAAGTTGTCAAAATATTTAATAAGGTGAGAAGCAGTTAGATGGAAAGAAAGTAAATTATGAGAAAGGGCTTGAGTGAAGTAATGGGAACTGTCCATTAAGGCTTGAGGCAGTACAGTCCAGGTAAGTTGCTGAGACTGATGGGTGTCAGGGTCAGTCCAAGTGAAAGTGAAGAGAGGCTGGGATGAAGGGTGCAAAGGAATAGTAAAGAAAGCATATTTAAGATCCAGAACAGAATAATGGGTTGTGGAGGGAGGTATTGAAGATAGGAGAGTATATGAGTTTGGCACCACGGGGTGGATAAGCAAAATAATTTGGTTGATAAGGTGCAGATCCTGAACTAACTTGTAAGACTTGTCTGCTTTTTGGACAGGTAAAATGGGGGCATTGTAAGGAGAGTTTATAGGCTTTAAAAGGCCATGCTGTAACAGGTGAGGGAATATTGGAATGGGATATTGGCATTGAGTGGGGTAAGGGTGATTAGGTTTTAATGAGATAGTAATGGGCATGTGATTGGTTCCCAGGGAGGGAGTAGAGATGTCCCATACCTGTGGATTAAGGTGGGGAGATACAAGGGGAGGATGTGAAGGAGGCTTTGAACTGGGGAAAAGGGGAGCAAAGAGGCGTGGCTGTAGCCCAGGAATAGTCAGGGAAGCAGATAATTTAGTTAAAATGTCTTGACCTAATAAGGGAGCTGGGCAGGTGGGGATAACTAAAAAGGAGTGCATAAAAGAATGTTGTCCAAGTTGGCATCAGAGTTGGGGAGTTTTAAGAGGTTTAGAAGCCTGGCCGTCAATACCCACAACAGTTATGGAGGCAAGGGAAACATGCCCTTGGAAAGAAGGTAATGTGGAGTGGGTAGCCTCCATATTGATTAAGAAGGGGAAGGACTTACCCTCCACTGTAAGAGTTACCCAAAGCATCTGTGATGGTCCTGTAGGCTTCCAAGGGGATCAGGCAGAATCAGTCTTCAGCCGCTAAGCTGAGAAGATCTGGGAAGGAGTCAGAGAGCCTTGGGCCAGAGTTCCAGGGGCTCTGGGCGAGTTGGACAGTCAGATTTCCAGTGGGGTCCCGCACAGATGGGACATGGCTTAGGAGGAATCCCAGGCTGTGGGCATTCCTTGGCCCAGTGGCCAGATTTCTGGCACTTGAAGCAAGATCCTGGGGAAGGAGGAGTAAGATCCTGAAGGAACACCTGACTGCAGTGGCTAGGCATTTTGAAGTTCTTCTGTGCTGGAGGTGTGGCTGGGGTTTCTCTCACAGCAGAGGCAAATAATTGCAACTCTTCTCTATTATTGTACACCTTGAAGGAGAGGTTAATTAAGTCCTGTTGTGGGGTTTGAGGGCTGAAATTTAATTTTTGGAGCTTTATTTAATATCGGGAGCAGATTGGGTAATAAAATGCATATTGAGAATAAGACAGCCTTCTGACCTTTCAGAGTCTAGGACTGTAAAGCGTCTCAGGATTGCTGCCAAACAAGCCATGAACTCGGCTGGGTTTTTATATTTGATGAAAAAGAGCCTAAATGCTAACTGATTTGGGAGAGGTTGGATAAAGAAAAAGGAGCATTAACCTTGACTATGCCTTTAGCTCCAGCCACCTCTTTAAGAGGAAATTGCTGGGCAGGTGGGAGAGGGCTAGTCGCAGAACAAAACTGTAAGCTGGACTGGATGTGGGGAGAGGAGGTGATAGAAGGATCATAGGGTCGGGGAGCAGAGGCTGAGGAAGAATTGGAGCCTGATTCAGCCTGGTGGGGAGCGACCTGAGGAGGAGCAGTCTGGGGAGGAGGGGAGAGGTCAGATAGGTTGGTAGAAAAGGAAGATTGAAAAGACTCAGCAACGCTGGGGGTTGGGACTGAGGGGACAGGCAGGAGGGAAAGAAGGAAGATTTGGGATGAGCCACATTGGGAACAGCGACTAGGGAGGGACTGATGTGTAAAAGAATGCCTGGACGTCAGGCACCTCAGACCGTTTGCCCATTTTATGACAAGAATTATCTAGATCTTGTGAGATGGAAAAATTGAAAGTGCCATTTTCTGGTTATTTGGAACCAGAAATTTTTATGAACTAGAGCTGTTGTGGGTCTCATGTTATTTGCAGGTGCGAGACACAACTCAGCCCATAACAGGTGGAAAGAACTCTCTTCAGAATGCTCAGATGTATATTGTTTAAAAATATATAGGGAAGGCCTGGTGTAGTGGCTCATGCCTGTAATCCCAGCACTTTGGGAGACCAAGGTGGATGGATCACTTGAGTCTGGGAGTTCAAGACCAGCCTGGGAAACATGACAAAACCCTGTCTCTACAAAAAATACAAAAATTAGCTGGGCATGGTGTCACATGCCTGTAGTCCCAGCTACTTGAGAGGCTGAGGTAGAAGGATCACTTGAGCCCAGGGAGGTCAAGGCTGCAGTAAGCTGAGAGCTAAGATCATACTACTGCACTGCAGTCTGGGTAACAGAGTGAGACCCCATCTCAAAAAAAAAAAAAAAAAGGGGAGAGGAAATATAGGGAATACTGTTATTAGCTACATCTGGGCTGTATATTTTGATCATAGAATGATCATAAAAAAATAAAAATCCATTCAAGTTTAGGGTCTTATTAATGGAAGGACGTTTGTGCCATCTTTCTACATGAAAAACTGCACATGTACATGTGCATCACAATATATGTTTCAAAGTCTAATGTGATGTTTTCCAATTATCTTAACTTCCTTGCCTAGATTATTATCTGTCAATCCACTATACCCTGATACTTGAAGTCTTTTTTGATGTCTTTGATTGCATCAGCCTTTTTAATTTGATGTAAAATCTTGATGTTTTACATAAAAAGCTCAAACTTAAAATAACGACAAGAAATTTTGACTAAGAAGTTATTTATGATTGTTTTTATTGACATAATTCACATACATTTGTTGCAGACACAAGCTTTCTCAGCATTCTACTATTTAAAAAGTACAGAGAACATGGATAATTCAAGGAGTTGATGGCACGACACTGAGATAAATGAAAAATCTCAATGTAATTTTTATGAACTAGAGCTGTTGTGGGTCTCATGTTATTTGAAAATGTTAACGACTGGGTGTAGTGGGTCATGCCTGTAATCCCTACACTTTGGGAAGCAAAGGCAGGAGGATTGCTCGAGCCCAGGAGTTTGAGACCAGCCTGGGCAACATAGCAAGACCTTGTTTCTACAAAAAAATTAAATCAATTAGCTGGGCATGTTGGTGCTCACCTGTAGTCCCAGCTACTCAGGAGGCTGAGGTCGGGGGATTGCTTGACCCCGGGATTTTGAGACTGTGGTGAGCTGTGATCGCACCACTGCACTCTAGCATGAGTGACAGGGTGAGACCGTGTCTCAAAAAAGAAAAAAAAAGAAAAAGAAAACAATAACATATGGCAAAAACTGTAAATGCTTTGTTTTTACACAACTTTTAAACTATAACACATACCAGTAGTATGCATTAAAGATAATTTTGTCTTTTTAGTACATTTTTATCTTGTTGTTAATCGAAGTATAAATGATCTGTAACAGCAAGTGCTGATCATCAATACAGTTGTAATAAATGTTTACACCAAGGTAACCATACCTCTATAAAAATACAGACTATTCCTTTTAAGCCCCCGCTCCCCACCCCTACTAATGCAACCGCTCTCTACAGCCCATGTTATTTCAGGCCAGAGTTTTGCTAATTGCTTTGCCAGTACATAAATCAAATTGCATTTTCTCTCATTTCCAATAAAATTGTCTTCATTGTCTTTCCAGCCATCACTAACAATTTCTTCAAGACCCTTTTTCCTTCTGTCTGCTGCCCAGTGCCAAGACCAGTGATGCCACATGCTTTGGTTTTCTTATACATCAGCATCCCATTGCAGTAATAATTTTGACTACGATCACCAAGGAGAGTTTTGCTTGCTTTTTTTTTTTTTTAACTTTCTCTAAATAGAATCACACAGTATGGGTGCTTTTGTGACTGGCTTCTTTTATCCAGGATAATTTCTGTGAGCTTCATCCACATTTTTACATGTATCAGAATTTTGTTCTTCCTTGATTGCAGTGTAGTATTCCATTTTAGAACCTCAATTGTCTATTTTTATGATGAACATTTAGTCTGTTTCGAGTTTTGAGCAATCATGAATATTGTTTCTATGAATACATTTCTTGACGTGTCTTTTGGTGAACATGTGCCCTCCTTTCTCTTGGATATATACTTACGAGTGGAATTGCTGGCTCATAAGGAAGACATATGTTTAATTTTGGTAGATACTTGCAGACAGTTTTCCAAAGTGGCTGAACCAATTTCTTTTTACTCCAGCAATGTACAAGAGTTACAGTTGATTTCTTATCTAAATGTTCATGGAGCCGCACAAGAAGCCCAGCCGTTGGGTTTTAAACTGCCAAATGTGTGGTGTTAGAAAAAAAATGCAAGATTTGGTGAATAAAGCATGAGTCAAATCATTTTAGATAAAGTTAATAGTAAACAGACTTCAAGTATTCTTTTATATTTCAATTAAGGTATTTTCTGTTTTTATGTCCATAATTAGAATCACTAAACTTCAATTTATGAAAACATATGGCAGGAGTTTTTCAATAATATGGTAATATAACAATTTATGACTCTCTTCTCTGTTATGTATGCCTAACTGGACTTTTTGACTAAAAGAGTCTTAAAAGCTACATTAATTTAAACCTTTCTTTTTTATTTTTGAGATGGAGTTTTGCTCTTGTCCCCCAGGCTGGAGTACAGTGGCACGATCTCGGCTCACTGCAACCTCCGTCTCCCAGGTTCAAGCAATTCTCCTGCCTTAGCCTCCAGAGTAGCTGGGATTACAGGTACCCACAACCACACCCGCCTAATTTTTGTATTTTTGGTAGAGACGGGGTTTCACCATGTTGGCCGGGCTGGTCTCGAACTCCTGACCTCAGGTGATCCACCCTCCTCGGCGTCCCAAAGTACTGGGATTACAGGCCTGATAAGCGCTTCTTTTTATAGATAACATAAGCTAATAATTTATATTGAAAAAGAATAGAGACTTAAACCTGTTGTATTATTTTTCAACAAACTTTTATGGACAACTTTTATTTTAAGTTTACAATGCCCCTGAAGATATTATCTCCTTTTTGCAGAAGAGAAAACCAAGAAAGCAAATTTTACAGTGATTTAAGTTGTCAAATTTCATAGAAATTCAATGACATATGTGGAATTTAGGTCTAGCTTTTAGGGCTACAGACAAAGCTTTCAGGTCCAAAACCGTTTTCAAGTCCAAAGTCTTCTCATCTATCTCTCTGTAAACAATAAGCACATATTTAAAGTGTGAGGTCAATTATTTTCAAAGCAGAGTATAATAATTTCAGAATTTAAATTAATCATATTCATGATAGTACATTAAATATTTAAAAATAATACAGAATATAGTTTTACTCTTAAAGATTCTTGAATAAATTTAATATTATATTTTAAAACATTAAAGTACAATGAATTTGTCTATAGTTACTCTAGTGTCTTATAATACAAATAATTTTTTAAAATTTGTTTGACATTACTAAAGTGAAGTAGTTTTTCAGATATATTTTTATTTTACTTTGGCTGCCAACAAAATATATTGTAGACATCAGGCTAACTCATCAATTTTCTGTGGGTGTCTGTGGGTTTTAGGAATATTCTTTAGTACCTTTGAAAGAACAATGAAGCATTTAGAGGTAATTTCTTCCTGTTATTATACTAAATTGCTTTGTTTTAATAGAATGCTCACTTGGTCTGTAGACAAGATTCTAGATTAGAAAATTTACTGTTACTTTCCTTATGCTTGGATACACCAAACTGATGGTATACGTTAGATTTTTTCATAAATATCTGTGAAAATATATAAGTATCACATCATTGAAGTGAGAACAAATGTTTTTATTTAATTTATTTGATATATTTTACGTTTTGAAAGGGATCCTGTCAAAGTAAACTGACAGTAAAAAAAAAACTGGGTTTCAGGTTTATATCTGAAGCTGATTAATAGCAAATCTCATTTTCTCAATTATAAAATAAGAGGTTGGACTAAATGAAGCTCAAAAACCCTTAAAGCTTTAAAAATACATGTAATCTTTTAGGTGTAATTTCTTTGGCTTTTTAAGTCATCCTCCCTCTTCTTTCTATTACAGCTCTTGTTTTGAAACAGAGATTTTATTTCTCTTTTGTAAATGAGGGAAAAATACCTCTTGCCAGATTATGATTAAAAAGGTGATTCTGGGGCTGTATATTATTATATTAATATTGGAGTTTTTGTTTCAGGTCTTTCTGGGCCAAAAACATTATATTGCTTTTGAATAGAATGTCATTCTTACAGAAAACTTGCTATAACCCTTATCCTTTTGAAGAACAGACTATTTATAGATCTCAAGTCTTTTCATTTCCTCCAAATACATTCAATGGAATTTTATTTTGTACCTCAATTGACTTGCATATTTGAATAATGCACGTTGTTAAGGTGATTTCACAAAAATGGGCTTTATTGAGGGTTTTTCATTACATATCTTTCAGAATTTATTAAAATTTCCTATCACACTTGCAACTTATAAGCAATTTCTGGCATTTAGTAGGAGTTCAAAAATGTGTCTTTTAGTTGAATTGGCCTTAGTGGAATTACCAAGAAATAAGGTCTTCCAAGTAAATGGAACCTAATCATACTTTTCAAACTTACAAAATTAATCATTATACAAATAATACAATTCTTTCTAATATATAATTCTTATTTCTCTGAGTTTGTAATGATGGTATTGAATAGAATTGATTGCCTTGTTCCTCATCCCCAAGGACAATTTCACCATTTGTTCACCAATGTTGCAAGGCTTCCTAAATAATGTATTCTACCAAATGTCCTCAGAAGCTCTGTATTTTATAATTTTCCAGACTTTCTCTTGTGTCCATTTTTTACATTTGATCCTTTACATATTAAATAAATATGATAGCTGTGTAGCTAAACTTAGTAGAATAATGCGTTAAAGATTTGCTATTTATTGTTGTCGTTTTTAATCATGTAAACCAATACTTTCTGTTTCAAAAAACTTTCAAAACCTCTTTTACTTGGTTTAGAGGTCTTTTTATGCTGGTTCCTAACTCTGTTCTTTGTAGTTGGTGTCATATGTTATCTCTAGATTAGTGACATGTTGCTATGTTGTTTTAAAAAAAATAATGATTAAGGCTGGGTGCAGTGGTTCCTGCCTGTTATCCCATCCCAGCACTTTGGGAGGCCGAGGTGGGTGGATCACCTGAGGTCAGGAGTTTGAGACCAGCCTGGGCAACATGGTGAAACCCTGTCTCTACTAAAAACACAAAAAATTAACTAAGCATGGTGGCATTTGCCTGTAGTCCCAGCTACTCGGGAGGCTGAGGCATGAGAATCGCTTGAACCCAGGAGGTGGGGGTTGCAGTGAGCTGAGATTACACCACTGCACTCCAGCCTGGGCAACAGAGCAAGACTCCATCTCATATATGTATATATATAAATAACACAATCTTTTGATAGGTTTTTAAAGAAATAACACAGATATACTGAAGGTATAATGTCCATTTCTAGTCTAATCATTTTTAAAAGATGTCTTACCATTGGGATTGACTTTCATCCTTTATTTGTTTTATTTCAACCAGAACATTTATTTACTCACCCATTTGTTTAAGCAAGAAACACTTAATACTATTGAGTAGGTACTATGCAGCACTGTGAAAGATTTAAGGAAGAGTAATGATGATTCTTGTCCTTAAGGATCAAACAAGATAACTAGGGATGGGATAAGGTCAGATAACAAAAATTCACAAATCACTATAGTACAATGATAACGACAAATATCATAAGAATGTCCAAATGAACTATGGGTTTGACACAAGAGAGCGAATATCTAATTGGAAACATCAGTTAATGCTTTATGAAAGAGGTGTAACTCGACCTGAAAATTAAGGTTTGAATTTTGTTTTCTAAAGATAATTTTATGATTCTCATCTATCACTTGATAAAAGATGTTCTATCAAATGGCTGTATAGGTTTCAGCTAGTGTTTATCTCATTGCAAGTGTTATAAAGTGGAGTAATTGGTTATCTGTGAATGCTAGCCTTCAAGTGATCTTTTCATGAGCTAAGCAGGAGTGCCACTCAAATGTTGAAGCTGACACTTCTGAAAGCAGAGACTCAGAACTTTCTTATCAGAATGAATCGGCAAAGTCATATGGTGAAGATTACAACAGTTTAGGTTTAAGGCTACCAAAATTCTCATTTTGTCTTTGTGACTATCTATAACATTTTTAGGAACTTGCTGTGGTTTTTTAATTCCCTTTTTTCTCACTCAATTCATCCCAGAAAGTTGGACACAATTTCATATCTTAAATGCCATAATCTGTAAGATCCTGACCTATAGCTGCCTTTTACAATTTCTTTGTAGGTACTCATCTTTCTTAATGTTCATTTTATAGATAGAGTTTATATAATATAATCTTTGTACTACATTGAAATGAAATTTGAAAGAGTTGCATAATTTTTTGGAAAATATTTCAGGATGGGTGTTTAGGTATGCAGCTACAGTTTAGAAATGAAAAATACTCATGCTTATTCCTAAAATAACAAGTTATGTTTTAGATTCAAAATTTATAAATATGAACAGTTTTACTGTCTGGCATGATTCCTGTCTTGGTGTCTTGCTTTGATACTTTTTTCGTATGTGGCAATTTATCTTTTCATCTTAAAGAGTGAGTGTTTCATACATAAAAATTTTCTCAGGCACTGTAGTCATGTTTAAATCAGTTTTACTATTTTACCTAACTTTAACTGTCTGTACCAATATTTACTGAAGCTATGGAATATCTTACATAAAATCCACCACTCTCATGTTTACAAATGAGCCAAGTGACACATGGGAATGTAAACGCCTCCTCCAAGTTCACCCGGAAACACAGATCACACTGGAACTCAGGTCTCCTAACTCAGAATACATTCGGTTTTCTGTTTGTTTGTTTTTCTATTACATTAAGGCAAATAACAATATTTAGCAATTTTGAAAAGAATAACAAGTTACAAATAACTAAGTCAAAAGTAGTTTGATTTGGGGAATTTTATTTTCTCTAAGAACCAAACTATTTTCAGGTTGAGACCTGTATGGCTAGACTGTAGCTGATGAGTAAAATTTGGTCATATAAAATTGTAAATAATAGTGCCTTTTATACTAAAAGTGATCATCCATGAAAAAATATGACCATCTAGAACACAGAATTAGCTTATCTGAAACCTATTCAAGTATATGAATTAATTAAAAAATTATATACCTCATTAAAATATATTTTAATATAAAGCATAGGACAAAGAAAACTAGAGTTCTTGAAGATTCATTACACTATCCTTTGCTAGACTTAAAAATAGATGAATGTTATGGTATGTCTCCAGATAACTTAGCTCAATATTATGTACTTGTATATATGGCTATTGATACTTAATTAAAAGCAAAATTTATTACCTTTCAAAAGAGAGAGGAAGAAACAAAAAGTGACATACTTCTAAATTAGATTTTGTTAATTAGTAATTTTTAAAAATACACTTTTTAATTGGAATATAATAAACAACTTTTAATTGGAAGTAAAAAAATATGTATATAAAATATAAAATATATATACAAAATAAGCTTTTAATTAGAAAAGTGAAAAGATCACTGTGTCCAATTAATATATTTTATGAATTGAATACAACCATGTAGACACAAGATATAAATTACATTATTAATACCCCAGAAGACTCCTAGTTATTATCCCGACTTCTAAAATTAACCACTATTTTGACTTCTTTCATGTACATTCTTTCTACCTGTTTAAAGCTTTAAACAAATGGAATTTTATGGATATACTCTTTTGAGTCTGACTTTTACTCAATATTATATCTCCAGGGTCTATCTATATTGTTGAATGTGAAACGGGAGAGTTCCCTAACCCCTGTGGAAGGACATGCGACAAGGGTGTGGCTTGTCTGGCCGCCATGCGCTCAATGCCCCTCATGGGAGGGGGAGCACCCAGACAGACAAGTGCAGGAGATAGGGTGAGTACTTTTGGGCTCCAGCCTTATGGTAGCATCTAAGGGTGGGTGCCTGCAACTCCCAAAGCCCCAGTGGGTGTGTTACAGTGCTCTTTAGACGGCTTAAGTGTTAACCAGCTTAGTGCCTTCTTGGTACCCAGGTGTTTGTCCAGCATCTGGGAAGAATCAGGTCACAAACGGACTTGAAGGATGGTGGATGCTGGGATTTTATCGCTGGATAGAGGTGACTCTCAGCGGGATGGATGGGAAGCTGGAAAGGGGATGGAGTGGGAACATGATCTTTCCCTGGAGTGTGGCCATCCAGTGGCCGATCTCCTCTCTGACAGTCTGTGACATTCAGATGCCCCTTCTCTTCTCTCCTTCTCTGATGCACTGCTCTTCTGCTCCTCTGCTCTTCTTATCTTCTGCTCATGGAGCCGGGGGTTTGGAATTTATATGGCTATTGAGCAGGGTGGCATGGCAGGCTGAAAGGCAACATTTGGGCATGAAACAGGAATGCCTGTTCTGATTTAGGGGCCATGGGTTTCCAGGCTTGAGGGTGGGGCCTTTGTCAGGGAACCGCCCTCTTCTACCCAGTATCTCCCTGCCTCTTGCCTGTATCAAATGCAGCTTTTAGTTCTTTCTTTTTACTGCTGTGTCACATTCCATGTTTCAATATAACAACATTTATTTATTCATGGTACTGTTGATGGACTTTTAGGGCTTTTAGTTATTTCAAATTTCTGGCTATTAAAATAGTGCTAAGATGAAAATTCTTATATATGTGTATCTATATGCACATACAGATATATATACACGCACATATATAGATATATAGGAATTTCATTCCTAGGAGACATAGACATATATATATGTACTCCTGAGCTTAAAAGTTGAAAAAACAACACTATTTAAGACATATATATATATGTCTCCTAGGAATGAAATTGATGAATTATGTAATATACATATGTTGAGCTTTTGTACGTACTAGAAAGTGTTTTCCAACTGGATTTTACCAGGGTACAATTCTGCCAGCAGTAGTTAAATGTTACTTGTTCTAGTAGGTTTGTATTGGTGTTTTATTTAATTAACGTTTCCCTAATGATTTTGATGTTGCAAAACTTTTCATATGCTTATTTGTCATCCATGTATCTTCTTTTGTCACACATTTTGCCCATATTTTTTAATTAAGTTTGCCTTTTTACTATTGGCATGTAAGAGTTCTTTATATGTCCTGGATAGAGATATGTGTCTTATAAATACTTTTTCCCACTTTGTGGCTTGTCTTTACATATTTATAAGTGTTTTTCGAAGAGAAGTTTTAAATTTTTATGGAATCTAATTTCTGAAATTTATCTTTTATGACTTATGTTTTGAGAGATTTATCTAAGAAAGTTTTGCTGAATCCAAGGTTAGAAATGTTGGATTTTTTTTCCAAAACTCTAATAATTAGGTTTTAATGAAGTCATTAACATTTGGAGTTAATTTCCTTTATATCATATAAGATAAAATTTGATTTTTTTGCATATAGATGTTCACTTGTTTTAGCACCACTTATCAAAGAGACTATTCTTTCTCTAGTCAGTTATTTAGGTTATTTTCTCAAAAGTTCTCTGACCATATATATATATAAATATGTTCTTTTTTTGAAGTGCTTCTTCCATTTGTGTTTAACTACTTCATCTCTTCTTAGTGTTTTGTAGAAATTCTTTATATATTATGCATAGAAATCCTTCATTAGAAATATGAGATGAAAACATTTTCTTTCATTTTGTGGCTTTATTTTTTAATATCTTAATAGTGCCTTCTGATGAAAAAGTCCTTATTTCTAATAAAGTGCAACTTATCATTTGTGTTAAAAGAAAACCTTTAAACTTAACAGAGTTTATCTGAGCAAAAACCCATTAGCAAATCAGGCAGCTCCCAGAGCCAGAATAGGTTCAGAGTGACTCTGGGCTGCCACATGATCAGAGTTTTTTTTTTTTTTTTTGAGATTGAGTCTTGCTCTGTCACCCAGGCTTGAGTGCAGTGGCACAATCTCGGCTCACTGTAACCTCCACCTTGCAGGTTCAAGCAATTCTCCTGCCTCAGCCTTCCAAGTAGCTGGGACTACAGGAGCACGCCATCATGCCTGGCTAATTTTTGTATTTTTTTAGTAGAGATGGGGTTTCACTATATTGGCCAGGCTGGTCTTGAACTCCTGATCTCGTGATCCACCCACCTGGGCCTCCCAAAGTGCTGCGATTACAGGCGTGAGCCACCGTGCCCGGCCAGAAAATATTTATGAACAGAAAAAGGAACATGATATACAGAAAACATAAGTTAGGTACAGACAGTTGGATTGGTTATGGCTGGGTGTTTGCCTTATTTGAACACAGTTTGAGCAATTGGCTGCTGTGATTGGTTGAGACTGTAATTGGTACTACAGGAGGTGACAGTCCATCCTGCACATGTACTCCTGAGCTTAAAAGTTGAAAAAACAAAGATTAGGTGATGGTCAGTTTACACATCCAGTTAGGTTATAGTTCACTATGTATGGTGAAACCTTTAGTCTGAACTTAAAATACGTAGGGAGGCAGGTTTATGCTAAACTTAACCTTTGTATTCTTTGCATTTAATGTTTTTGTTGCCTGTTTAAGATAATCTCTGCTCATCCCAAACTTAAGAGATGTCCTTTTATGCTATTTTCCAAAAGCTTTATTGTTTTACTTTCACAAAGCTAAACATATACCATTTATAATCCATATGGAATTGCTTTCTGTGTCATCTAGGTGCCAACATCTATTTTCCCTCACATGGATATCTGATAGTTCAAATAGAATTTGTTACTGAGACCATCGCTTTCTCACTTTAGTGCTCTCACATATTATTTGTGATGAATTAGGTAAACATATCTCTGTGGATCATTTTGGACTGTCAATTCTGCTCCAGAATTGACACTTGATAGGATAAACACTCCAATTTTGTTCTTCAAGATTATCTGGGCAATTTTTGGCCCATTGAATTTCTGTGTGAATTCTGAAATCAGATAGTCTATTTTACATATCATACATTTTGATACTAATTTTCACAATCAGTCATCTGATTTTTTAAAAGTCTTTAGGTTAAAAAGTTTATTTGTGAGCCAAATTATTTTTAAACGTCAACATGAAATATTCCAATAATTTGAATCCAGAGTCCTTTAAAAATATCATTAATAAAAGTGAATTTTATGTTTTTTAGTCATTTGAAAATGGCACTACATTTGCCAAGCTCTCCTGACATAAAATTTGTAAAGATTAATCATCAGCAACAATCTTGGAGCAAAAAAAACAAAAAAAAGAAAAAGAAAACACAGTTTCAGTGAAAACAAATCATCTCAATGATTCCAATAGGTATAGTTCAAGCACCTTTGCTGCTTGAGAAAGCCCCTCAGTGGATGGGGCATATAGGAAAATATGTTTTCCAGAGCAGAAGGCTGCTATAGCCCATTTGTGAGGGAGACAGATTAGGGCGGATGGCCCTCTACAAATTATTATTAACAAGTTAACAAGCTTGAGCCTCTTTGATAATTTTATATATGTTTGTGGTCCTTCTCGGGGACAGAGGATTTTCATCTTACCTATCACCATTTAAGCTTTAGGTAATTGCTTTCAGTTTTTTGCAATTAGTACTTCTTTTTTTTTTGTCTTGTAAGTTCTCGAGAAACATTTTTCAAAGGAATCTGTCCTGAACCTCGCCTTAACATAGGCTTCGTTCTGGAAGATAAACATATGTTTTTATCAATCTTGAAAGAGGTGGAACTTCAAAAAATATGACCAAAAATGCAGATTCTGCAAATAATTTTCAAGAGGTTGTTAATAAAGAGAAATAGTCTGATGAAATTTCATATTGAACTGCTACTTTATTACAGAAGAAAGAAACTGTTGGCACCCAAGAATTTTGTAAATTCTGTTGAAGGAAACCAAAATATTTTATCCCAAAATATACTTCTTTGACATATTTTGAGACGGATGTTCACAGGGATTGCAGACAGAGTAGTCCTACGAAGCTGCCTGTTGTGGAGGAGATTTCCATCTGTAGAGAAAATCTGTGTTGACACAGCCGGCCTTTCTCTAAGGTTCTCTCTTGTCTGGATCTAGAGAAGATGAACTGAGAGGCTGAGAGTCTGACACCTTTAAAACTCTGAAAGAAACATTTACCATCTATTCTCTCTAAGGGCTGCTACCTGTGAGAAACCTTCAAAGGGCAAAGGAGAAATTTTCCCTTGGCCAAACAATGTGTCTGACAAAGGTCTAATATTCAGAATCTATAAGGAACTTAAACAAATTTACAAGAAACTAACAAACCCATTAAAAAGTGAGCAAAGAACATGAGCAGACATTTCCAAAAGAAGACATACATGTGGCCAACAAGCATATGAAAAAATGCTCAACATCACTGATCATTAGAGGAATGCAAGTCAAAACCACAGTGTGGTACCATCTCATACCAGTCAGTATGGCTAAAATGTCAGTATGGCTATTATTAAAAAGTCAAAAAATTAACATGCTGGTGAGGTTGTGGAGAAAAGGGAACGCTTATATGCTGCTGGCGGGCATGTAAATTAATTCAGCCACTGTGGAAAGCAGTTTGGTGATTTCTCAAAGAACTTAGAATTACCATTTGACCCAGCAATCCCATTATTGGGTATATACCCAAAGGAATATAAATCGCTCTCCCCTAAGGACACATGCATGCATAGGTTCATCACAAGCACTATTCGCAGTAGCAAAGACATGGAATCAACCTAAATGTCTACCAACGGTAAACTGGATTTAAAAAACGTGGTAAACATAAGTAATAGAATGGCATGCAACCACAAAAAAGAACAAGGTCATATCCTTTGCAGCAACATGCATGGAACTGGAGGCCATTACCTTAAGCAAACTAACACAAGGAGAGAAAAACCAAATACTGCATGTCCTGACTTATAAGTGGGAGCTAAACATCAACTACATATAGACCCAAAGAAGGGAACGACAGACACTGGGGCCTATTTGATGGTGAGGATTGAAAAATTACCAGTACAGGACTCTACTTATTACTTGGGTGGCAAAATAACCTGCACACATTTTGTGCACACAAAAAAACCCCTACAACATTTAATTTACCTATATAACAAACCTGCACATACATGTATCCCAGAATCTAAAACAAAAGTTAAAAATAAAATGAAATAAAAATAAGTCTTGCAACCATGCAAATCTAAGTGAAATAATATTCTAAAGTTATTTTTTACAATTAAAAAAAACAAAATAAAGCCTGAAAGAAATATTTACCATCTATTCTCTCTGTGTCCTGCTACCTGTGAGGAACCTTCAGAGGGCAAAGAAGTTTTCCCTAATCACCTACACTATCAAACTAAAAATGCCCGGATTATTTCAAATTTGAAAACACTGGATTTTCCACATCAACTATTAGCTAATGTCTTTAACACTGTGTTTGAAATCCGTTTAATGTGGGTTTTTTCCTCTATATTTCTCTTCACCTTTATTTGTTGACCTTTATTATCCCTCTGTGGCTGCACTGGCTGGTGTGGGTTTGTGCTTCATTTCAAGTTCTCAGCTTGATGATTCCTGAATCTGACCATGACTGACTCCAAATCAGATTGTCAAGAGGCTGCTTTGAATTGTGAAAGTAGTAGTTTCCCTCTGGCAATTAGATGTTTCTCTTATAAAGAAGTGGGTGAATTTATTCTTTATCTACTTTGGGGTTATCACAGTGAGTGGGTCAATTAGGCTGTCGAGTAAAAATATCTGTAAAAAGAACAAAATAAAAGAATGTCGCAGCTTCATTTCTGCTGTAATGTCACCTTTTTTGGTGAGGGGAGATACATCAGAGCTGTAATCACATCTACCTTAGCTTTAGAGGCTCTAAAGGTAACCAGTTGGCAATTTCAGATGCTGTTCCCACATATACCTTTGGATTGACTAGTTGCAATTTCATATCTTTTTTTTTTTGCCACTTTCAAACATTCATTTTTTTTTTCCAAAAAAGAGGTATCGTAGTTTTGAGTCACTGCCAGCTATTAATTGTGGGTGTATTTTTTTTAATAAAAAAATTTGCTTTTGTCATTATTTATCTGGTGAGTCACAAAGAATATCATACAAATTTGATTTCTATTGAGGTTGATAATTTGTTACTTAACATTTTAAAAAATTTCCAATTTTTTTCATTCAGACTTTTTTTTGTCATTTTTGTTTTGTTATTATAAGTGCAATATTTACACTTTATTTATTGTGCTGTAATGTAATTATAGTACAATATTTTAAATTATATTTGCCAAAGAGTTCAGCCTCTGTCTTTCCCCTGTTGCTAGCTACTCAAATCCCAGCAGAGATAGCCATCACTTTCTGTGATTTCTAGAGATATTATACACATTTATACATAAATAAATGGATGTTGTAAAATTAAATAATTCAAACAAAATAATTCAAACTTAACACTGTTGGAACTTTACATTCTTCTGAGCCTTGAGGGGAATATGTCTATGCAGCCTGAGTCTTGTGGCATTCAGCTGCAACTTCTGCCTTTTTCTTCTTATAAATAATTAAGAGTAAGTGGCACCAGAGATAAGATGCCTCCCTCAAATCACTACCCTTCCTCATGAAGTAATAACATAATCCAATCTGTAATCAACAGAATCGTGGTAACATATACACTGGTCTCATATGAAAAATGTAATTCTGCTAAAATTTCTCTGTATCTGCCTAAGTAAGTGAAACCTTAACTTTTCCACTTTGGAACATTGACCCCATTCATTTGGAGTTGATATTTCCCAAATGGCTATCCTAGGGCTTTGCACTCAAACCATATACTTAATCATATTTTCTGAATCTCATTTTGTAAGGTTGACAATGTATATTTTTCTCACCAGTGGTTACATGGTATACATGCTGCGCTTCCCCTTGCCTTATTTCATCTAATGATCTATCTTGAATTATATACCTATAGAGTTTCTTTTTGAATATTTTTGATGATGGCATAATGTTCTCTTGTATAAAGGTACATTAAATATTTTTACTCAGTTCTTTATAGTTGGGCATTAAGGTGATTCCCCATATTTGCATAACAAATTGGGTTGCAATGAAAACATTTCTATAATAGTTTATACATGTGTCAGTTTATATGTAGGAAACATTACTGAAAGCAGTTTTGATGGTAAATGAATATGTGCATTTAAAATTTTCATAAATATTTGTACTCCATAGCTCCAATTTACCCACCCATCATTAATATGTAACTGTTCCTGTTTTCACATGTCCTCTCCAGCACAGCGTCACAAATGTTTTGTCTTTGCCAATTTAATAAGTGAAAAGTAAAATTCTACTCTGGTCTTAATTTGCATTTGGGTTAATCTGAATAAGACTAGCTTTCTTTTTCTACATTTAGGAGTTACAAATATTGCTTTTTTTTGTAAATATGCTAGTTATTCTTACATTATGCTAGAAATTCAATGTAATATCAATTTTTTTTTTCTGCAGAATTTTAGCAGTCCACTTAAAGATTATTTAGAAGATAATAGGCAATTTTATAAATAAAATGGGACTTGCAATTTTAGGTTAAAAATGTATCACAGGCTAATAGAAACAGTATGTTACAAGCACTGATATACAGCCCAATGAAAAAGATTACAGATAAGAGACACAGACCCAGGATAAACTACTATTTCACTATTCATTATCTGAGACCATAATGCGTCTGCTTAGCAGACTGAAACTTATCATTATTGATCACGTATAAGCATTTCTTTTCACTTAAAAATAGTGCTGCCCTTGTTCTTAATATAATTTCAGATCTTTGAATAGTTTTAAAATATGGGTTTATACAGAGATAATCATAAAGTATAACTGTGGTGCAAAATGATTGCAGAGTGAAATTGAAAATCTTGTGAAAGGTAAAGAATTTGATGAAGTCAAGAATAATGATATTTTAGAGTTGTTTGAATCATATTCAAAATCATGGATAAATGACAGGAAGAAATTTGTGTTTTATCAAAAAAACCTAAGCTTCACATTGTGCTCAGATTAGATCTGTGGAAGGTAACATTAATCTCCACTGATAAAGAAGCAGCACAGGTAAAATTATTTCAAAAATATTAAATAATATTGGTGGGTTAAGAACAATAAACAAGTCTGTTTAATTCCTGCTCTTTAATAACTTAAAATACATTTTCCTATAATAAATATGTTTTACAACCATGTGGTTAAACTATCACAAGTTTGTAGTTAAAAAACACATGTACAAGAGTTGGTGGCAAACATTTGTATTTTTGCTTCTTCTCACTAACTATGAGTAAACACGGGGAGATGATGTGTAAACTTGATAAAGAGCAGTGGAGGAGCACATGTGTCTCTAACCTTCACTGAGGCCTTTAAGCCAACTGGCTAAACTCCAATAGGATCATTGGTTTCCAGTCCATTTATCTATGTACAAATGTAAATATCTTACAAGCATTTTTTTCCCTTCACGTATTAAGAAAGGCCATTTCACAAAGCATCTTAATTTTCCATCTACTCATGTCCACCATGCTTCTTAAAAAATATGATTGCAATTTATGTTTTATGATAAAGGTCAATCACACAAAAGTCTACAATTGATGATTCCAATAATTGAAGACAAGAAACTTGGCAATAATGTTGAAATAATAGGTGCTTTAAATCAGACTTATTTGAATATCAAATGATTCAAAAAGGAGAAAATACGTGAAGAAATTAGAAAGTTTTTGCAAAATGTCTCACTTTAAATTTGTGCTATAATGCAAGTTAAAAGCAATTAAACCACAGTATAATACAATATTCTAGAATTATGATAAACAGTCAACACTTGCTTTATTCTTTGTTCTTTCTAAGAATTAGTATAGTTGAAAAATTCTAAATTATTTTAGCTCAATGCTATAAATGTATTTGTATGAAGTAGAAAAGTACACAAAAGCTAGGTACAAGCAAAATTATAACTGAGTTATCCATTTAAAAAACTAAAAGAAGAAATGTAAAGAAAATAGGTAGATAACTGAGTATATAAATTTTGTTAAATCTAGCCAGGAAATACCATTCAGCCACAAATAGTAAATAGAGAACTAATTTTATTGAGAAATCGTATCACTGTTGTATGTTGTTTAGTGGGTCAATGATCCTGTTTAGTGGGTCAACGATCCTGATAATATAACAGGCTGGAGTATTCATACCTCCACGCCTGTTGAAAAAAACTGAAAATGCTGGCTAAAAGTTTGAAAAGTAGATACTTAAATGCATCAAACACAGACAAGATAGTGAGAAATTACCAGAAGAAAATGAAGCAGAAGCAAGAGTATAAACATTTAGATAGAGTGTAAAGACCATTTTTTTCCCCAAGGCACTTACACACTAGGTAAGCGCTAACTCTGCCTCTGAAAGCCTGGTTGGGAGTAGAAGAAAAAGTCCAAAGTTCAAATTTGCCACAGTTTGGGACCGAGAGTTAATCCTCCCATAAAAATCCCATAAAAATGAGACTACAAAGGGCTACATAATCAAGGTAATGGTGAATCAAAAACAAACAAACAAAATACATCAAACCACCTGCTTGGTAAAAAGACCTATGAATAAAGTAGTTTTGTTACTAAGCAGAACATGACAAGCAAAACAACAAAAGATTTACTGAGGCCCATTTTTTTGCTGAGCAAACGGTCTATCTTGGTGATTGTTACATGTGTATTTGGAAAGAACTGGAGTGCAGTGGTCCATATATGTCAATTAAGCCCAGGTGATTTACAGTGTTGTTTAATAATTCTGTATCTTTACTAATTCACTCTCTGTTCTAGCAATTACTGAGACAAGGGCTTTAACGTCTCCAAATTTAATTGTGGGTTTGTCGGTTTCTTTTATCAGTTCTGTCAGATTTCGTTTATGTATTTTGAAGCTTTATCATTGGGTGCACCCATATTTAAGATTTTTATGACTTTTGGATGAATTATTCTTTTATCATTATAAAATGTCTTTTTAACCCTGGCAATGGTTCCTTTTCTTAAGACTTCTTAGTCTGATAGTACTATAGACATTCCAGTTTTCTTTGATTAGAATTTGCATAAGTAAATCTTTATGCATTTTCTTACTCTTAACCTATTCGAATTGTTATTTTAAAGTGAGTTTCTTATAAGCAACAAATAGTTAAGCCTTTCTTTTTTACCCAGTTTAACAATCTCTTCATTGGATTGTATAGATAATAATGATCAATGTGGCGAGGCTTAAGCTAGAGTCTTGCTATTTGTACTGTATTTTTAAAACAGACTAATAAAGTTAATAATTCTGTAATGCAAAGAATCCAGACAGAAAAGTCAATAATAACCAATATCAGTAAGAGAAAGCATTATAATTACAAGTATTATAGGCTCTTAAATGGTAATATTTTTAAAACAACTTTAGGCCACAGTTTGACCTAAGCCATTTTTGTATAATACTTAAGTCAAAAATGGTTTTTACATTATTAAAAGATTATAAAAACAAAGGTAAAAACAAAGAAACAAAAAATATTTGGCAGAGGCCATTTGTGTTCTACAAAGCCTAAAATATTTACTATCTGTCCCATTTCAAAAAAAGTTTTCTGACCCCTGCTTTAAACCAATAAATTTAAAAATTTAGGCATAAAGGAAAACAATTGTAGGAAAATATTCCCTACCCAACTAAGAAGAAAGAGAATATCCAGCTATCCTAAAATTAAGACAATTTAGATTTTGTGATATCGTGGAATGTACATTTGGTCTTCCTCTAGTTTCCTGATATACATGTCCTAAAATCCTTGGAATCTCTAGAGTGATGAGTGTCTTTTGTACCATGATGAAATGACTGTGGCTGAGGCCCCCGGATTGTTTCAGGATGGGGGCTCTTCACTGAAAGACCAAGGCAGAATTAGAGGAGTGAGACTTTTAGTTTCACCCTGCAGCCTCTGAGGAGGAGAGAGGGGCTGAAGATTAAGTTGATCATCAATACTTACCAATGATTTAATCAATCATGCCTAAGTAATAAAGCCTCAGTAAAGACGCAGAAGAACTGGATTGGGAGAGCTTCTGGATACTGAATATATGGAAGTTCCTGGAGGGAGGCTTTCACCTGGAGAGGCGGGGAAGCTCTGCTCTCCTTCCCACATAACCTCACCCTGTGCATCTTGTGATCTGAGATGCTCTCTTAACAACTAAGGTGGATCTGAAGGTTAAGGAAACAAAAGTTACGTATAGGTTGAGGGTCCAGGTCCCAGCTGATATAGCAAATATCTAAATTCCTACAACTGCAAGAGAAACCACACTCTTGCAAAACTCTCTAACAATAGAAGCTATCAGGGAAATTGTCAGACCTCTCCTAACTCTGATTTACAACCCAGACTATTACAACCCTGGTTGGATAGAGGACTGGCCTTACAATCATTCTCTTCTTATAAGTAACTGCAGACTTTAAGCCAGTTTCACCCACCTTATATAGGCTGTGCACAAACAATCTTTGTGTCCGAGAGTTCACTTTTTGGTATAAAGAGCCAATTTCCATTTGCCTTTAATGCTAAAACCCCACCCCAAAGTGAACATGGGGTGTATGTTACACATATGTTTACCCATTATGCGTGTGCTTTACCCCTCTCATAAATATGTGCAACTTTTCTTCCAAACTTTCTGAATATGTATGACGTTATTGAGTCATACAGGCCCTGTGAGATATAAAATCCAATCTGCTCTTCCTCTCTTTGGAGAGAGCATCTTTGGTCCTTGATGGAGACTTTCCATTATTGGTTTGCAAACTGATATCACCAGTAAAGTTCTCTTTTCTACTATTTAGCCATCTTGGTGGTCTTTTGGATTACAGTCTCTTTATCTGTATTCTTTGTAATATCTTCATAATAAAACAGTAAATAGAAGTAACTGTTTCCCTGAGTTTAGTGAGGCATTCTAGCAACAAATTAATCAAACTCAAGAAGGGATTTGGGAGGGACCCCGGATTTATAGCTCATGGGTCAGAAGTATAGGTAACACTCAACTATTTGCAACTAGTGTCTAACTAGGAGGTGGCAGTCCTGTGGGTCTGAGCTGTCAACCTCTGGGGTCTGATGCTACCTCCAGGTAGATAGTGACAAAACTTAACTGAATTAGAGGACACCCAGCTGGTGTCCACTGCAGAAAACATTGCTTCCTTGATGTGTTGGGAAACTGTCCCCGACCTCTTGCAATAACTGGGGTCACAGAAGTATTCTGTGTTGTGTTGTGACAATACAGTGAAAAAAACTGAGTTTTTTTTTCCCATATCTTTACAGATGTTAAAAATCTTCCCCAAGAGAAAATTCCTAGCCCAGACTGCCTCACCAATGAGTTCCACCAAAAAAATTATTGAAAAACTTTTTCAGAAAACAGAAACAATAAAGAAAATATTCTTCATTTCATTTTATGAGGCTAGCATAACCTTGATACCCAAACTGATATACACAATAAAAGAAAGAAACAAACATTATTGGCTAGTCTCATTTAAAAATGTAGACACAAAATTAGAAACAAAAGAAAAGACTAAATCTAGCAGTGTATTAAAAATGCATCGTAAACAAGTTAAATGTATCCTAGGGAAACATGGAAAGTTTATCATCAAAAGTCTGTACATTTGACAATAATACTTTAAAGGATTTAAAACAATTTAATGAATTTAAAAGATTCATATAATCTCAATAAATGCACTAAAAATATTGGTTTAAATTCACGAAATATTCATGATTTAAAAAAGACAACTTTGAAAATTATAAAGAGAAAGAGTTTCTTTCTTTGATACTTACAACAAAACTTATACTATTTAAAGGTCAGAGACCTTTCCTTTAAAATAGAAATGACGGGTTCTGTACTAATAGTGCTTCTATTCAACACTTTGAGAATCTAGCCAGCAAAGTAAGACCAAAATAAATAAAACCAAAAAAAGAATTGCAAACAATGGCACAAATGAACCTTATTAACTGATAATGATAAGTCTGCTCAAAACTTAGAGAATTTACATGTACATATTCAGGGACTTCTCCTTTAAGTATGGCAGGATAGTTTATTCGGATCAACTTCAAGCCTTAGGGGAAAAAAAAAAACAGTCTTTGTAAAAGACTGACTAATGAACTGACAATATTGGAAACAATATCAGGCCAAAACCTAAATGAAAAAGTAAACCTAGGGTGAATATACAGTTAATATATGCAATAAAACTAACATAAAAAACTGTGCTATGAGTTTGATGTCTGCCCTTCAGAGTGAGGCTTTTGAAATAATAGGCTACTGTCTTATTTTTACTTCCTAGACGTCCATTTCTCCCAGATAATTGCAGTCTAACTCCCACTCAAACAATTTCAGTGAAATTACTCTCAAATGATCCAGTCAATCTAACTGCCTGTTAGAATATGCTCACATCTCCTCCTTTTCATTTTTCCTTTCTTTTTCTTTCTTTTGTCATCCTTTCTTTCTCTCCTCCTATCACTAATTTTCCCTGTTTTTGGTAAGTAAAAATAATCAATTATAATTTGCTAAACGTGTGCAAAAGTAAAAAAGAAAATTATTATGTAATACATCTTATTTTTTGGAACAATAATTTGAAGTGTCTAGTTATTTAGACATAAACAAGTCAGGCTAAAGGATCTGTAGATCATATCTTCATGGATTTAATTTTGAACCTAATGATATTTTATTGTGAGTTAATGAATGCATATCTTAATATCAGAATTAGAACAATATTGGTGCATTTTCATCAGAAAAAATATTTTTGAAATAAGCTATATTAAGCAAATTTAGTTGCTTACTTCATTTTCTATATAGTTAAACTATTTCCTATTTCTTAATTTTAATTTTACTACAATTATTTTTATAAAATAAATTATTTTGGTGTAGTTGTTTTTTTGACATTCATCAGTTTTGCTCTTATCAAATTTTATTTTTTATTGTTTCTGCCACTAGAAGCTTTCTTTGTGTTCATTATTTTCATAAAGTCCAACAATATTGGGCCAATCTTGTGAGGACTAAGCTTTGATATTTTTTAGCTCACCCAAATTCCTACCTAGGGGGTCTAGAGAGTCATGCCCTACAAACCATAAATTCTCATCAGATGGGTTTTATTGGCCCTATTTATTGTGACTTAGTTTTCAATCTGACTCTGGCATAACATTATGAGACAGGAAAAAAAAAATTTAACCCCAAAGCATATTTCTTTGCCATGCCTCGAAATTGCCCTGCAAAGTCTCTTGTGGGAAAAGCCATATTCTATAGAGAATCCCCTTCCCCCTTTGTCTTCCTTCCTTCCTTCCTTCCTTCCTTCCTTCCTTCCTTCCTTCCTTCCTTCCCATATCCAGGAGATAATCAACGAAGAGCCAGGCACCCTTTTAAGTACGATAAAAAACAGTTTACCACCTGCTCTCTCTAAAGTCAGCTATCTAAGAGCTTCCTCTGAACAATAAAACGTAGTCTCCACAGTTCTTTATCTTTAGCCTGAACATTCCTTTCTATCAATTCCAGATTTTAGACAAACTCAACCAATTGTCACCCGGAAAATGTTTAAATTTACCTATAGCCTGGAATTCACCCTCTTTGAGTTGTCCCACATTCCTAAAGCAAACCAGTGTATTTCTTAAATGTATTTGGTTGATGTCTCCTACCTACCTGAAATATATAAAGCCAAGCTGCACCCCGACCACCTTAGGCACATGTTCTCAGGACCTCCTGAGGGCTGTATCATGGGCCACGGCCACTCATATTTGGCTCAGAATAAATCTCTTCAAATATCTTACAGAGTTTGACTCTTTTTGTCAACACTGGCAAAAGTAAAATATGTCAAAATGTTAGATTTTTCTTTCAGTTTTTAGGCAGTTACAAATTTGCTATGTGCAACTTTAGATATTGGTAATTTTATATTTCACCGATAGTTCTACAACATATAAACTATAAAAATGTCCATTAACAGACATAGGTGCACAAGAAAGATCACTTTCTTTTCTATAAATCAAATTAATTTCTAAATCCAAGACCTGTCATTCTAGGCTAGTGGAAAACTCCAGTTCTTCCTGAGTCTGTGACCCCTTTGCAAAATTTTATCAGGATAATACAATGCCAGTGCACTGGGTGGGATTTATTTTATTCTCAGTATCATCAGGTCTCAACTTGATATAGATGTGAGATTTATTTCTGCATACCCCTTCAGTATTAGCACATTTCTTTGATTTTTTTGCTGTAATAAAAATAATCTGTAAGGCCTCCTACCTTAGTTTCCATCTGCTATGCACAATGCAAACCTTCCTTTTAGGTATCTAATAATTATCCTTAAGGTGATTCCAGCCAGCAGGGCACAGGTTTCCTTTGCTCTTCTGGCATAAGAACATCTCTCTGCTCCACCACTTGAAGTATTTCCTTTTAATCTTTTAATAGGGCAGATAGTCCCACTTTCTTTCCTTTATTTTTTTATCTTTCAATTTTTCTAAGAGCTTAAGATGTATGAAAATTCAAACTTAAGTCTACCTCTATGTACTAGCCCCGTAAAAATGTTCCCTGTAGCATTAAAATAAGGGATAGGCTGCTTGCTTGAGTGAGATACAGGAACAGAGGAAAGTAGAAGAAAGAAAATTATTTCACAATATTATAAAGCCATGTTAGTGTAATTTTTATATAAGCAGTGGTCACTTGTCCTAACACAATCAATAAAATATGATTCTTCACTTACGTTGCTTTTTAGATACATAGTAAATTTTCCCTTCAAACATTTTAGTTGCTGTATTAGTTTGTGTTTATTTCTCTACCAATAATACTAAATTAATTCTTCTAAAAGAGTCAAAGTGTGTATTTAGCAAGAAGCTGAGGACATTCATAGGGCAGAGGTTTGCTAGCTAAATTTTAGGCAGACAAGGTTGAAATTGTTGGCTTCTGGCAAATTTGCACTCATTGTAATGGGAAAAAATTATATATAACAAGACACATTTTGACTTGATAAGAGCTTCTCCTAGTTTTGTTCCATGTTCTGCGTTTTAATTTTTGCTAGGGGGAAGAAGAACAAATTTTCATGGGTGAAAATGTATTGCAGGAAGGTGTAACCACCTGATGGGTTCTTCCTGCCCCCTGCACAGATGAAAACAATTTACTGAGACCACAGCATTGCTGTAAAGATTAATTGACATGAGGCCAGTCATGCTATGTGGGAGACAGAATTATCATTACTCAAATTAATCTCCCCAAAAATTAGGAGGCTAGGGTTTTTCGAGGATAGTTTGGAGGGCCGGGGAGTCCACTTCTCGGTAAAACCATCCATCCATTAGTCATCAGAAATGCAAAAGTCTGCCCAGGCTTGTCTTGAAATCCTGCCTCGGCCTCCTGAGCAGCTAGAATTTCAGGCACTAGCCATTGTGTGTGGCCGGATGAAACTTTATGTTACTGGCTGATAGGAGATGGAATTAACACTCAAATCAATCTCTCTGAAAATTTGGGGATCAGGGATTTTAAGGACAGTTTTGTGGGTAGGGGATCAGAAAGTAGAGTGTGCTGATTGGTAAAGTCGAAGATGAAATTATAGTGTTGAGGCTGTCCTCTTGCACTGAGTCAGTTCCTGGGTTGGGGTCACAAGACCAGATGAGGTAGTTTATCAATCTTGGTGGTATCAGCTGGTGCATCAGAACGTAGAGTCAGCAAAATATCTCAAGCACACTGATCTCAGGTTTTACAACTGTGACTCCTAAATTGTAATTTCTAATCTTATGGCTAATTTGTTAGTCCTGCAATGGCAGTACAGTTCCCAAGGAAGAGGAAGTTTTCTTTTGGGAAAGGGCTGTTATCACCTTAATTTCAAAGTTAAACAATAAACTAAGTTCCTCTCAAAGTTAGTTTGGCCTATACCCAGGCATGAACAAGGACAGCTTGGAGGTTAGAAGCAAGATGAAGTTGGTTAGGTCAGATCTTTTTCACTGTCATAATTTTCTCACTGTTATAATTTTTGCAAAGATGGTTCCATTTAGAAGTCAGATTTATAAAACCTTCAAATAACAAAGTATTATAATACTTAGATAATATACTGATGAGAATATTAGCAATCAAAATTATTTTAAAACCTTAGAATATTGTGTCTTAAGCAAAATAATAATATAAAACTGAATGTAAATTTCTAAATTGAACTAATACAGCAAGGAGATAGCCTGAAAGTAGTTCCTATTAACAAAAATGTCTTCACGATATTATTTAATTACAAGCTCTGTACAAAAATAATGTGATTTGCTTGACAATCAAAATGAATAAATGCTATCTTAGAGTGCAATAATAATCACATAAAATTCAGAATAAGTCCCACTCCACCCAGAACAGACAAAGATGGTTACCATATTTTGAAGATAAAATTTCCTTAACAGCTGAGAAATAAAGAGAGTAAGAATCATGTTCTGTCTTTTAAGAATTCCCAAGCTAACATAACTCACACAGACATGTAGTCTAAGATCCTTAATCCTAGTGATAGTGGACTCTTAGAGTGATGAGAAAACAGAAAACACAAATATGAACCTAAGAGAATAAATACCTTCATAAGACAGGATTTTATTCTCAAAGTGATCACAAATGTACATTTTGACCCACATGTATATAGCCCACAAAAAGCCTGTTCTTTTTTTTTCTTTTGAAATGGAGTTTTGCTCTTGTTGCCCAGGCTGGAGTGCAATCTCGGCTTACTGCAACCTCCGCCTCCCAGGTACAATCAATTCTCCTGTCTCTGCCTCCCAAGTAGCTTGGATTACAGGCATGTGCCACCACGCCTGGCTAATTTTTTTGTATTTAGTGGAGACAGAGTTTCACCATGTTAGTTAGGCTGGTTGCAAACTCCTGACCTCAGGTGATCCATTTTTGGACTCCGGAAGTGCTGGGATTAAAAGCCCTTTCTTATCAGAGGCCAACAAGATAGGAGGATTTTGGCATCTTATATTTTTGTGACATCCATACAAACCGCACCTCTGGATGTTTTCTAACCATTTTATACTTTTGGGAACCAAAACAGCATTTTACTTTTGAAGATCCTAAATTATCCAATGTTAATGTATACCAATATGTAGCTTCCCCACAATACAGGGGAAGGGGAAGAAGGTACCAAACTTACAGAGATGACCTAAAATAATTAGCGAGACCAGAATCAGACTCGGGATGGATCAGAATCACTTGGAACAGCTTGTTAATAAACAGATGACAAGATCCCATCTGCTGAGATTCTATTTTGGTAAGCCTATGATGGACCAGATATTTGCATTTTAACAAGATCTTCAGATGGTCCTGAAGCCCAGGGCAATTTGAGCTTCACTGAACACTAGTGGAAGGAACAAAACAAAGATCTACAAGTAATTATCTGAACAATCAAGTCTTAAGATCAAATCCCTAGATGTGTTGGGTGGGACATTGGGGAAGAGTTTCTTGATTGGTACTTTAGTTTACTCGATTTTAGTATTCATTTCTGTGATCTTATATATATTAATATTTTGATTAATTAAAGAATATTAAAGTTGGTTCTTTCAAAGTGGCTACTAATCTATTGTCTATCTAAATGAAATAAAAGATAATTTTGACTTTTTAAAATCTTTACCTACAAAATGATTAGGTAGATTAAAAAGAAGAAAACAGCAACTATGCAAACTGAATGTCTACCTTATATTCAAAGACATTGTTATCTTTCATTCTTTTGTGCTGATTCTTATCATACTACATAATGGTAAAAGCAAAAAAAAAAAAAAAAGAGAGTAAAACAAAGAACATTGGCTTTTTCAGAAATTAAAATTCCTAATATTTCTTTTGTTACATTCCACAATTAAAGACATGTTCTCCCTCTAAATACCAGTCTTCTATTTTTCAGTACACATAAGTTTATTTTTTGTAAGAGTTAAAGAAAGAGGCTTTCTTTCTTTAACTCTTTAATGAAAAGTGGCTCAAAAGTCAAAGACAGGTTTATTTTGGAGAATAAACCTGAGAGGGGCTTCTGGCCGATTTTAGTCAGGAGCATTCTCTCTTACAGGCTAAGAGCATTTATTGGCTTTTTAGGGTGAGAGAGCTTATCACAAGCTTGGAATGTTTCTGTGTAAGGGAGAAGCTTGTAGTGGGGTTGGATTGCCTCTGGTGGGAGGGGAGGCTATCTTGGGGCTGACATCTCTCCGGCCAGAGGGGAGGTTATCTCAGGGCTGGCATGTCTCTGGTGGGGGAGGAGTTTATCTTATGGTTGGAATGTTTCTGGTCAGAGATGTTATTTGTGGTTTATAGTCATGCTGACCTTAGCCATTAGACTGATGCCCTTTGGATTTAGGCAGTTTTTGATCAAGGGGAACTTTAGAATGGCAGTGCTTGTCCAAGATGGCAATGCTTCAGCTCTGTCATTTTTTAAAAATTATAAATGTACTCAATCTATGCATATATATATATATATATACACACACATACATGTATATAAGGCAATAATATAAGACAATATTATTTAAATCTTCAATTTTTAGTTTAATAAAATAAAAGTTAGCAAGCAACAGTGTACTTCACATATGTTAGAAAAAAGCAAAGTGTTTCTAAAGTTAATGTTTTTCTAAGACTCTTTCTCAAGCAATTGCTTTTCATTTATTTTTAAATTTTGTTCTGCGGTAGGCCAAGTTTCCTCTATTTTTTTTTTTCAGACTCTCTGTCTCTCTGCATTCTCATTCTTGGGTTAACATAATAATTCATCTAAGTGTGAAAGGAAAATAAATCTTGGGACCCCAAAATCACTAAGCTGAAAAAAAAACAGTCAAGCTGGGAACTGCTTAGGGCAAACCTGCCTCACATTCTATTCAAAATCATCCTTCTGCTCACTGAGATAAATACAGATCTGATTGCTTCCTTTGGAGAGGCTAATCAGAAACTCAAAAGAATGCAACTGTTTATCTCTTATCTTCCTATGACCTGGAAGCGCCCTCCCTGCTTTGAGTTGTTCTGCCTTTCTGGAACCAACCAATATACATCTTACATATATTGATTAATGTCCCTAAAATGTACAAAATCAAGCTGTGCCCCGACCACGTTGGGCATATGTCATCAGGACCTCCTGAGGCTGTGTCATGGGTGTGTCCTTAACTCTGGTAAAATAAACTTTCCAAATTGACTGAGACCTGTCTCGGGTATTTGGAGTTAACATGAGTTATGCTTTCAGAATTATCTTACTCTGCAAGAGACAGATATATCTGTTTTATTATTTTTCCACCTAAACAAACAAACAATAAATAAATAAAGCTTAACATTTAGCTCTGTATAGAGGCATCCAGATCAGTCTTAGACACAAGGTGGGGGGATGGAAAAATAAGTCTTCAGGTCTCTCACTCTCACAGAGGTAGGTGGAGTTAGAAAACTGGGGAATGTGGCTTGAAGCTACATCTCCAGAATAGTCAGACCTCTGATACTCACTGTCACCTGTTAACCTAAAGGAAGAAACTGAGATATAAGTAGAGAGTTTATTCGGACCAAGATTGAGGAATGCAGCCTCTCAGCACTTACAAGTGGGTTTTTATAGAAAAAAAAAAAAAGAGTGCAGTTCCTAAGATTTTTAATCTATAGGCTATATGTTGTTCTTTTTATCACGCATGTCAGGGACATGAAGATAATGAGTGGGTCACATTTGAGGTAATTTATCAGCTAGTCTGAAACTAGGAGGAAAGAAAGAAAAAAAAATACCATTAAACAATTACTCCCTGGCATGAATATGGGAAAAGGGGTGAGTGGGTGGGGCTGATTGAAGTCTTGTTCTCGTCTAAGCTTGATAAATTGTGCACACCCCACATTCCTCAGACTACTCTGAGCCACTTTGCTTTCTCATACTAAAACCCTCAGGTAACATGAAGTGGCAAGGGAGGGTCATTCACTGAATGTGCAGTTCTGGAGCCTGAGTCTCATTTCCAAGTTGGTGGCAAGGGATAAACCTGAATAACAATATTCAGATGAGCGAAAAAGGCTGTACCTTCTTGTTCATCTTTGTTCGGATAGAGGAAGGTTTCCCATCAAAACCATTGTCCTCCCAACTCACACTGGTCTTACTTTCTGAAATTCCTTCAAGGCTGATTTTTGAGCCAGTGACTAACAAGAATGAAATTGGATTCATCAGGCCCATTTCTAATGAGCCCCTGATGAGTTGAATGTGGACTCAGATTTTTCTGAGTGGCATGGGAGTACGGCAATAGAGGTGGGGGTAAGGGAGGAGTACCTAAATAAAACTGGAGTTCTGTTTGAACTGGCGAAGAACGAATAAATGCGGAATAAACATCCAACCATGTTCACAATGTGAATAAATGAAGAACATATTCTTTAGAGCAGTTTTTATTTTCATTCTTTAGGTTAACTCCAGTAATGTTCAAACAACCAGGATTTCCAATATCAAGTTTCAAAGAATGATAAAAAGCTAGTCAGTGTGTCTCTGGTAACTTGGGCTACCTTTTACAATTTTCATATATATAATTCTAACTACATTTGGTAAAAATAGGGTATCAATGTATTACAATAAACTACAACTGCTGGTGAGCTTAAGGGACTGCTAGATAAACACCATTAAAGTGATTGATTATGGATTTAGTTGAATTGACCCAATTCAGTAACAGTGTAGCATATCTGTATACATCAAATCAAATCATTAGAACTATAAACTATATGTGCAGTTTTATGAATGCTTCAAAATATTGGTTAGCAATATTTTTATATTCCAGATAAAAGTATGCCACCTAGTAAGGAAATACACTGAGGGTGATACAAAATAATAGCTACAATTATTTGAGTCAGAAACAGTACCACACCTCTCTTAAATAATTTTTCTGATGACAAACATTTACCATTTTTTTAATAGGATACATGTTGTCCATGACTATATGTATTAATAGCACATTTTGATGGAATCTTGTTAATTTCTATTAGACATGATGTTTTAAATTTAAAAATATAATTTAAGTCACATCTCCTATCTTAATCCCATAAGTGGTTAGTGAAATACATATAAAACCTAACATGGTAATGCAAGCTTTTCAAAACAAAGCAACAAGAACAGATTAACATATATTTAATAGTAACAGAAAATTATTACTATATCCCTTAATACTATATATGGAAGTAAACTCCTATAAAAGCTATAAAATTTTTATAGCTTTTAAATAACATATAAAAGCTATAAAAATCTAAGATTATTTTATGAGATTAGATAATAAATATCTTTGTTTTATGAAATGAAGCAGAAACAATGTAAAAGGAAAAATTATAGCTATATACATACATAATTTTTAAAATGTATGAAGTGATATATAATGCTAAAAATTGAAGTACTACAACAGCTTGGAAAAATTACATTTTCTTTTCTAGATAATAATTAAATCACTCTAATAAATAAATATATAAATCATATTTAAAAGAAGGAAAATAAAAATTCTAATAGATAAATGGTATAAGTGTATAAAAGAAATTGACACCAGATAAAACATTTGAAAAACTAATTTTATTCATTTTTATTTGTATTCTGCTTTATTCTGAAAAAAAGATTTTTAGAAGAAAAAACAAATAGGAAATGTTCATTCTTTTTAGTAATAAAATATTGTAAGTTAAACTTAAATTAAGATTTTAAATCTGTTAAGTTACATTAAAAGTTTTCTTTAAAAAAATCTGTCACCAAGTATATATCTAGTTTGCAATTACTGGGTATAGTTCTATAGAGCTAATGGTATTAAAATTGATACAGACTTTTGGAAAGCAACATGACAAATACATAACATGAACTATAAATATTGGCACAACATTGGAATAATTAGTAATCCTAGTTATTCATTTAATAATATAATTTCAAAAAACGTAAAATAATATTTGCAGATGGACTTTCATCACAATATAACCTATAATGTATACAAATTATATGTCTTGATTTCTTAGTTTTATTTGATCATTTTTATTCACAATAGTAGAAATAATATAGTATATTTCAACAAATACAATAATATCCTGAAGTCTCTAATGAAATATTTATTGACACTATGGAGAAACATTAAAAAATTATGTAACAATGTCAAATATAACAGTATATGTTGGAATGTATATCTATTACACTTGTTGTGTGAAGCCGTTATATTTGTGGTAATTTGCTGTAACAGTCTTAGGATGCTAACGTGGGCCATGGAAAAAAAACTGGGGAGTGAGAGACTCATTTCAGGTTTTGCTACAGTGTTCATTACACAACCATATGCATGTGTCAAAATTCACAGAATGTGCACACAAAAAAGTGAGTTTTCCTGATAGAAATAAAAAAAGAACTTTAAAAACAGACTGTAAGACAAAATAAAATGTGTGAGTGTAGAGCAATTATTTGCGATTTTTGGCTAAGTTGAGAAGAATAAAGGAACAGCTACCAGGACAAATAAAAATTAAAAATTTGATATGGAGTAGAGTCTTGCTATCAAAAAGTGGGAATAAACAGAGTGGGGGAAAAAAAACGCTGTAAACGATCTTTTTGGTGGCTTTTACATGACTGAGTAAAATAGGGTTCCAAGTTGGTGAATAAAGGTCTCAAATGGTCAGCGGTATATTTATGTAACCAGTGCCCTGGATTCTTGCAATCTCCCAGGATAGAAATCAAGAGAAAATATCAAGTATAGCAGCAAAGAAGCACGAGCAAGCCAGCACCAAGAAAGGAAAAGGAATAGGCTGCTCCCGGAGCGTAGTGTGTGGGTTAGTTTTATAGTGTCTTTCTATAGGGAAGGGTTACATTAGGGCATGTATAAGAGGTTTTTTTTCTAGTGCTTGCACAATGGCTCAACATGCTTCTTCATACATTATATGTAGCGTCAGCATTTTATTTATTTATTTATTTATTTATTTATTTATTTATTTATTTATTTAAGATGGAGTCTTGCTCTGCCACCCAGGCTAGAGTGCAGTGGCACCATTTTGGCTCACAGCAACCTCCACCTCCTGAGTTGAAGCAATTCTCCTGCCTCAGCCTCCCGAGTAACTGGGATTACAGGCATGCCCCACCATGCCTGGCTAATTTTTTGTATTTTTAGTAGAGACGGGGTTTCACAATGTTGGCCAGGCTGGTCTCGAACTCCTGACCTCAAGTGATCCACCCGCCTCGGCCTCCCAAAGTGCTGGGATTTCAGCGTGAGTCACTGCACCTGGCCTATATTAGCATTTTAAATCTCCACCCCTGAGCATGATTTTTAGCATTAAACTGAGGAAGGGGTCACTATAGGTTGGAGTTTAAGTCTAAACGTGCAAGCAGATGCTCCAGGACAGTCCCTAGCCCCCTGAAATAGAAACATGCGCTTGATAGCTTCGGAGTCTTCTTCACTGATTGGCTGAGAGTTACATAAGCCAGAGCTTGAGTGAGGGGCTTTTACTATTTCCCTCCAGAGCACATTGAATAGAAAACCAGCTCACGCCTGTAATCCCAGCACTATGGGAGGCCAAAGCGGGCGGATCACGAGGTCAGGAGATCGAGACCATCCTGGCCAACACAGTGAAACCCCGTCTCTACTAAAAATACAAAAAAATGGCAGGGCGTGGTGGCGCACGTCTGTAGTCCTAGCTACTCGGGAGGGTGAGGCAGGAGAATCGCTTAACTCGGGAGTCGGAGGTTGCAGTGAGCCGAGGTCGCGCCACAGCACTCCAGTCTGGCGACAGAGCGAGACTCCATCTCAACAACAACAACAACAACAACAACAAAAACAACAACAGAAAACCAACCAGCCTGTCTGTCTCACTTATGGTACTTGGAAAAAAGGGGGAACTTCAAAGAAATACAAGGTCGATCTATCTGGAAACAGGGGAAAAGCATCAAGAAAGGAAATTCGGCATAAGATTCAGGTAACTCGAGTAAACTGTGCTTAGAGCCATGGATGAGATGTGTCTATGGGCTTGTTCTATAGCTAGTAGTTGTTAATGGTCAATTGTTTAATGAGAAAATGTGGATGCAAATCTCATATTTGTATCATTCCCCAAGCACTATGAGAAATTTTTGGTTTGTAAACCGTTAATGTAAAATATAAAATTAAATTAAGCTGCTTCTTAACAATGAATCCTAATTCCCTTACAGCTTTTAAAAAACTTTTGAGTAAATAAATAAACGTTAATAAGTTGAATCCTGTGATGCAGTTTTAAAAATCTATTTTTTTTCTTTATGGAGAAAATCCTGTCTTATAAGACATTAAAAGAAATAAAACATAGAGTAAATCATAGCTTATGACTGTATTGGCATGACTCTTGACTCAATAAGATCTTGCCTTTCCATTTAAATGGCTACTAAGTTTCAAATAATGTATTTTTTTGCATTAAAGTGCAATGCCAGTGAAAGTAACTACCTGTAAGGAATCTTTTAAAGAACTCTATCTTACAATCCAAGAAAAACATTCTAAGCCCTTTGTACCATCTGTTGAGATGGAATAGCATCATGGACAGCTGGAACCTTTGAGGTTGAAATGTACTTTATCAAAAATATCTCCTGGTCTCATTGGCTGTTGCTTTAGACAGATGCCTGGTGCATTAGGAAGAAATTGCAGAAATGGCAGACCTGTGTGTGTATGTGTGTATGTATTTTAATGACTCTAAAAAAGTTGCTGTGCAGTTTAGATATAAAAGTGAATAATATACATTCTGCTGGTCAAGCTTTGGCTCTCTGTTCTCTGTGTATATTCCTCTTCCACAAATAACTCATCTGCTCTTAGGTGATGACTATCTTTGCGAGGATCACTGAAGAGACTCTATCTTTAGCCTAAATTTCTTCTGAGTTCAAGTATCTTATCTTATTGTATTTAAAGCAAGTTGGCCATTCAAAGAAAAGTCCAGCCATCATCTTCCACCTAATATGGCTAAATTAAGACATATTAAATTGCAAAATTGTCATCTTATAATTCTTTGTGTCTCCCTTTCCTGTCACTGACTCTGTTTTGACTTATTCTTTCTGCTCTTTTTTATCCCACCACGGAGAATCATGTGTGTAGTTTTATCACTTGTTTTTTGTTTCTACCATTCATAGCTTGCTTTCTTTTAGTACTGCAACCAAACTAACTCTATTCTTTATCCTTCTATTATGATACAATAACAAGGACCTATCTTTGCTCTTATTTTACTCCCATTCCTACTGTCTTATTTTCTCCAATCTATTGTGACATGGGGATAATTGTTTAAATTGAATACGCACAGAAATAGATGCAACTGATTAAACAGCCATGCTAATTGTCTCTACTAAAAAATACAAAAAATTAGCCAGGCTTGGTGGCCGGCACCTGTAGTCCCAGCTACTTGGGAGGCTGAGGCAGGAGAATGGCGTGAACTCGGGAGGCGGAGCTTGCAGTGAGCCGAGATCATGCCACTGCACTCCAGCCTGGGCGACAGAGCGAGACTCCGTCTCAAAAATAAATAAATGAATAAATAAATAAATAACGTATATTTGAGTTTGTAATAAGAATATTAGCATTTTAAATAGATATATGTTTAAAAATAATAACATTAAAAATCTCTCAAATATGATTGTTTTAGTCTCTTGGGCTGAATTTATTTTAATTAGGCAAAATATGGCAAATTCTAGTTATAAGACAGTTTTATTTCATAATTTTACATAAGCAGATGGGAAAATTTGATAACAACATATAACACTATACAAAGAAGATAGATGGCACTGGAAGAGCCAGTAGGAGGTGGAAGAAAGTGAGACGTTTATTTCTCAGCCTTAAACTTTTCTGCTACATTTATTTACAACTAAGAGCTACACGGTCATCCCAGAAGATGCTACATTCTAGTCGTCAAAACAAATCACAAGGCATGCCAAGATTCAAAAGACGCAAAAATAGATTCCCTCTTTTTGTAGGAGAAACTTCGAATAATTTGTGGCCATTTATTTATCTACCATATTATTTTTTCCACAATGTTGTTTGTTTTTTATTTCTGGTTTGTAGAAAGCTCTCTATGTTTATTTATATATATCCAATCTGCAACTACTAATATGAGTGCTGTATACAGATAGTTTTGCCGTAACAGGATATGAACTTTGCTACAAATCACCACGGTATGCAAAATCTTGCAATAAAAATCACAGGGTTTATAAAGAAGATAAAATCGGGACACACACTGAAAAACTTCATTAGTAACAAATTTAAAACAATGGAAACTTAAAAATTATGGCACAGTTTTCCATTTGTTAAATGGTTAAGAAATACATAAATACTACAATAAATATAACACTTCATCTTATCCAAGAGCAGATATGTGCTTTTGGAATTGGGCCTTAGACAGGTTGCAGCCCATTCACTAATGTGAAGTGGTGGGAAATAAGGTTATCTGAAATCAAACAAAGTTATAACACCAGATGTGGGTGGATGTGGATTATCACACACGCAGTGAATTGAGGGAGCTGGTAGATGTTTGTGGTGTCTACAGAGGAGTATTTTGTGTCCTATTACACTGCTTGGTTCAGCTCGGTGCAGTGCTTTTTCTCCACCTAGTTTTTTTTTTTTTCCCCCAGATATAATCACATATAAGCAAACATGAAATCTTCATTATGCTTAAGTTATTTCAACTGAGTTGGAACGAATTTGCGTTTTCAAAGACCATTACAGCAGAATTGACTTACAAACATGTTCTCCTAGTATGGGCTTTAGAGTTTGTTTATGGTTTTTCTGTCACATGCACAATTTAAAGTTTAACGTAGTTAATGGATCCATCATTTCCCTTGTGAACACTGATTTTTGTGTTTTATTTAAGATATCCTTCACTACGCTGTTATATTTCTTTAGATATTCCATAATTTCATTTTTCACACAGCTCTTTAATCCATCATGAATTCTTTTGTGTGGTGCTAAACAGTATTTTCCTACATGGAGAGCTTGACATTAAAAAAACTCTTAGCCACATACTTGAGCAATTTTTAAAAGAAGAGCATTAATAATTTCTTCAAATACAATTACTAAAGCTTCCTGGTTCATCACCTGCTATATTTTTCTAGAGAGCCATCCTCTCATTTGAAAAATTACTTATCACATCTGACAGGTTTCAGTGTATACATGGATCTATACTACATTCTATATGCTATTCTATTTTATCCTATATTCTATATGTTATTCTATTTATCTATTTATCTACCTTGGATCTAATGTCCGTCTGAATGTTTTAGCTCTAACGGAAATATTGATACATGGTTGGATAATTCTCTACACCTTCCGTTTTGTCTTTAAAATTATCTTACTCTTCTCAAACTTGTTTTTTCTTTTTTTCATTTCAGAATTCTCAACTTTTGTTTTTAAAAAAGCAGGATTGACATTTTTATAGGAATCATGCCCAATGTATGTTTTAATTTTCAGAAAATTGAATTTTAAATATTTATTGTATCCTTTCATATTTATTTTATGTCTAGAAATCTTCCTCAACTTTATTAGTTATAATCCTTCATTTGTAGATTTATCACTTTTCTTGTATTTCATGTTTGGTCAATCATATTTCTGGCAAATATTGAGAGCTCCCAAAGTTTCTTTACTCCTATCATTATTTTAAAAATTTAATTAGGACCTGCAGCAAAATTATAAATAATAGATGTGGTAATAGGCATTCTTCCAATGATAATGATTTTAATGGGACTGCTTCTGCAGTTTCCACATACGTATGCTGTAAATTTTTATTAGTTAAAACATTTTCAAATGAAGATAGTGATTTTCTATCATGATTTTGGAAGAATATTACTTTTAACTAATAATTAAATTTCTCAAATTATTCTCTTATTATATAATTTTTATTTTTCACTGAGTTAATGTTAGTAATTTTTTTCTAGAAAATTGTCCATCAAAACTAATAATTTGAATTTATTGATATAAAACACATTATTTTTATAAAATATTTAAATATCTACTTTCCTTTTAACTTTGTTTTTTGTTTCTAATATTACATCTTTTGTTTTCTTTCTGAGCTTTTTAAAATTGTGTTTGTTTTCTAGATGGGTTAATTCAGTCATTAGTCTAAGAATCTATTTTCTTCAGCTATGCTGTGTCGAGATTCTCTATTATTTGTTTGATTATCTTAAGTTCTCACTAACTAATTTCTGCTCTTATTTTTTATCATTTTTCTTTCTACTTTAAAGTTTATTATATTTTAGAGTCTAATTTGAATGCTTACTCTGTTATTTTTAATCTTTCATATGTTTTTAATGCACTGAATACCACTTGTTTCTATGCACAACTTTAGATCCATCCCACAAGTTTTGTTGTAACTTTCATGGTTATTTAATTTCAGGCATTTTATAATTTCTTTTTTGAGTTTTGTTCTTACCAATGAAATATTTAGAATGAGAGTTAGCAAGATGTAGTGGCTAAGAGCCTGGGCTCTGGCACCAGACTGGTATGTTCAATCCAATCTCTGTAATTACTAACTCTGAGAACACGGGCTAGTTATCTCTGTGCCTCAGTTTCCTTATTTAGAAAGAGTGGATAATAAGAATAAAAGGATAATTACCTCATAGGATTTTTAGGAGGACTAAGTGAAGTGATGTATGACCAGGACTTGAGCAGTGCCAATGACAAGACAATTCACTGGTGATTGTTTCCACCGGCTTCCAGACCGCGTTTACCCATTTCTATCACCTTGCTTTAACCTTTTCTTGTCTTTTTCTCTTTCACAATGTCATGCTTTATTCTAAAACACGTATGTGTGTTTAACAGAGAAGCTCCTCAAATCATCATTTTAAAAATATCCTCATCAGAAATTCACAAAAAAGACTCCTAGAACTTCAATATTCTGATATAACTTCCCGAGAATTTACTGGCTCTCAGAAGAGAAATAACAGGTGACGAATGAAGGTTTTGTAAGCATATGTGAAGAAATTATGAATGCTTTCATAGCATTCAAATGTAAATTAGTTATTTCCAAAGTATGAATCAATTTTTTATATTTTTTTCTGTACTACTGATTTAAACATAGAGTATTTTTACTTTTCTTCTCATTCAGACCCATAGAAATGTGGAAAACATACCATAACAGAGAAAAATACTTACTTAAAACTGTGTTACACCTTAAACCAAGGTAAATCAAAAGGATAACAATAATTCTAGGAATCAAAGAGATTTCCCTAGTTAAGAGTAGATTCACATTATGCTACTCCATTAACTCAGACTTGGAAGCTACATTTCCAAAATGCAGGCCACTACTTGATACATATTTTTTCTTCGTGTGTGTGTGTGTGTGTGTGTGTGTGTGTGTGTGTGTGGTTGTGTATGTGTATGGGTATAATTTACCACTTTGAAATAAATGTTTTATTACAACAGCAATGAAAACAAATGTAAATTTGCCTATTTCCTAAACCAAGAGTTATCAAGGTGCATTAAGAACAACGAGCAATTGCGTTAAAAATAAGACAGGTTAAATTTGACTTTCTATATTATGAGAAAAAAATAAATTTGCCATTTCAAATAAATAGTTACATTTCTTAACATTTTTATTTAGAGGTCAAAAAAACCATGGTGCTATTTACAGTCACAGAAATCTCTTTACAATATTTTTAACAAGAAAAATATTTTATGGCATTTAGGTTGAAACAAAGATATACTCATGAGACATGTAAGAAAAAATGCCTCAATACTAAAACACCAAAAAAATTATACTTGGCAGGTTTAGCATTGATTTTTAGCAACAATGTTAGTTTTGCTCTCTCACGTCAGGACTGGGGTGATGCACTTTGTATTTTTAAAATGAAAGCTTGAAAGCCTGTGAAAGCAAAAAAAAAAAAAAAAAAAAAAAAACCCAAAATTAATGCTGTCTTAAAATACACTATTCCGTGAGAGGTGGAACTAAATCTAAAATCAACACTCTTTGCTAGAAAACTCAAAATTATAAAAGGTCAATAGATTTGTGGTTCACCTTTTAATATTTAGGGAAATCAATTTTTTTTATTCTCCAAATATTGCAAGAACTCTTCCTAATGCAATCTGTGAATGAATAAAAAGCATGACAAAGCTAATTTCATTCTGATGCTATTGAGGATGTTATGGGTTAAGAAGTAGGGGGCAGGGAGAAGCAGATGTCTTCTTTGCCACTCTCCTCCAAGCACCAGGAAAGTAGGGATTTGGTAGGGGAAATGTGGAGCTTAGCCCAGACTTGGGAAATGAGTTCAAATTTGATATCTTAAAGTTGGCACAAGAAGCTTAGCTGGGCCATGTGGGATGAGGGTGTGTAGTAGGGCAAAATATGAATAGAATAAATCCCCTTGGATACATTCTTTATAAATGATTCATTATTAAAAGTTTTTTTAAAAGTTTTATACTGATGATAGTTAAAACTAAGATTAAAAATACCTTCATGGAAGCATTTGGAATATTCAATTAAAACAGTAGAGTGAAAGATTATGAAAGCAGTCAACATGCAATGCTATTTTATTTGTTTTTTCTCCTTTTAACCAAAAAGGCAGGTCCATTTCACAGCATGCTCTACTTCCAACCAATATTAGGTCTGTATAGGCCAGTCATTGCCACATTGATTGTCTTCAAGATCCTAAGCTAACATATATTCCTATTATCTTTTTCCCATCACTTTCTAAATTTTTCTCTCATTTCTAGTTTTCTGTTCCTTTCCATGATTCCTCTCTAATCTCAACCAGTTCTGCAACACAACATTTAGCACTTGGCTAAACAGCCCCCAGCCCCATTCAGCCTCTCACTTTGAATTTTTCTTTGCCTCCTCTAGCCTTAATTAACATACTTAGCCTTTGATGGTTAAAGCAGAATAAATTCTAATTTGATTCTCCAAAGCAATCCCTAGCAAGGTAAATTAATTTATTTAAAGATTTCACATTTAAAAATGATGATTATTACATCAAATAATAGATGACTATTGTATGGGAAGTGCCTGAGAAATATAATGAATTTATGAAATCAGCCCTGTAGGTCCACATCTTTCTTTCCACTGCTCCTTTATCTGTGTAAACAGTAGAACTCACAGGTCTTAAAATACAACTTTACAGAGCAGATATAAAAAAGATGAAAATCATAACTTTATAAATGCTGATAGGCTTCTAAATTCAAAATTTATTTAAGCACTTCAAATATCAACTTATAAATTATTTATTAAATAATATATTTCAGACTAAAATAGTTCATTCTTGTTTTGGTTTTTAAGTAAATTCCCATTTAAAAATTGTAGAAGGTAAGACTTGATCAAGTTTTAGAAAATTTTAAAAAGTTTGCCTTTTTTTCTTGTTCAAAATATACAATTATGCCTAACTGCCTTTGAAATATAACTGCAGAATCTCAAGGGAAATCAAATATTAACTCAGTTTCAAAGAAACCAAAACTCCAACACAATATTATATTGCTGCCTAGTTACATTATTTTAAATAGAGGGGATAAAATCTAATCAGAAAGAAAAGGAGGGCAAAGAGAATTTGTATTCTCTTTAGTTAGGGAAAAAGTTTAAAGAAAGATTTAATAAGCATTATAAAGCTTGTTGAGGCAAATATATATCTTGACTCAAAGTCATGTAATTAAGTAATGTAATCAAGAAATAAAGTAATACCCTCCTAACATAAAATTAATAATCATTTGTGAGTCATTGAACAAAAAGTTCATGAAAATAAAATAAAGGACCAGTTTATGGGAAGAAAAAAATTAATGATTATAACATTAAGAAATCTTGCTGTATTATGCTATTGAGGTTAATGAAAACTGATGATGCATTCTACTGGTTACATTAATCCTTCCCAACTATTATTTCTCTTTTTTTTAAGGTTTGGAGACATCTTTTTGGTGTTAGGAGTGACAAATCTAAGAGGCAACTTATTTAAATTATCTATAACCTTAAAATAGACATAGAATGTTAGAACCAAAAAAGCATTTAATTAGGAATCAGAATCCCTAGGTTTTCATCAAACCACTCAATGTCTTATAAAATGTGAACTGTCAGAACAGCCTGATGTTTAATTGTAATAACGCTTCCCAAACAGTGAGTTTATTTTCTGTATTAAGGTTTACCTTTGTGTATTAGATTTCTTCTGTGTACTTTTTCCTCAACTATTGAAATGTCTGTAGTGGTTCAAGATCCAGGATAGAACGTATGTTAGGCCACAAAACAAGTCTTAACAAACTTAAAAAAATTGAAATCATATCAAGTCTCTGTTTAATCAACCACAATGGTATGAAACTAGAAATGAATAACAGGACAAATTTTAGAAAATAAACAAATACATGGAAATTAAATAACTGTGTTCCTGAACAATCAATGGGTCAATGAAGAAGTTAAAAAGAAAATTTAAAGAATATTTTGAGACAAATGCAAATGGAAAAAAATATACAAAAACTAAAGGGATGCAAAAGCAGTTCTGAGAGCAAAGTTTATAGCAATAAATATCTACATTATAAAAAAGGAAGATCCTAAATAAACATTCTAACATTATACACTTCATAACTAAAAAATAGGAACAAACAAAGCCCAATGTTAGCAGCAGAAAGGAAATAATAAAGATCAGAGCAGAAATAAATAAAATAGGGACTAAAGAAATAATAGAAAAGATCAACAACATGTTGTTTTCTAGAAAAGATAAACAAAAGTAATAAACTTTTAGCTAGATTAAGAAAAAAGAGAGAAGACTCTTCAGAAGTGAAGAGGAGACATTATAACTGACATTACAGAAATACAAAGAATCATCAGAGATCAAAATTGTATGCAAACAGAATCATTAGAGATCAAAATTATATGCCAAAAAATTTGGTACCCTAAAGAAATAGATAAATTCCTAGATGCATGTAACTTACAGACTGAAATCAGGAAGAAATAGAAAATCTGAGCAGACCAGTAATAGGTCAGAAGATTGAATCTCTGATAAAAAGCTTTCCATCAGAGAAAAGCCCAGGACCTGATGCCTTCACTGCTAAATTCTTCCAAACATTTAAGAATAATGAAAACTAATAATCCTCAAACTCTTCCCAAAAAAAAGAAGATAAGGGAATACTTTCAAACTCATTTTACAAGGCCAGCATGATCCTGATACCAGACAAGGACACTACAAGAAAAAGAATTACAGGCCAATACCCCTTATGAACATAGATACAATTATTCACAACAAAATAGTATCAAACTGAATTTAACATTACATCAAAAGGAACACTCACCTTGATCAAGTGGAATTTATCACAGCAGTGCCAGGATGGTTTAACATATGAAATCTATAAATGTGATACACCACATTAACAGATGAAGAACAAAAACCATGTGATCATCTCAACACAGAAAAAAAGCATTTGACAAAGTTCAACATACCTTTATGATAAAACCTCTCAACTAATTAGATATAGAGGAAATGTAACTAAACACAATAGAGGCCATATATGCCAAACCTACAGCTAACATATTAAATAATGAAAACGTGAAATCTTTTTTTTTTCATGATTAGGAACAAGACAAGGATGTCTATCCTTGACATTTCTATTTAACATGGTACTGGAAATTCTAGACAGAGCAATTACACAAGGGAAGTAAATAAAAGTCATCCAAATCAGAAGGGAAGAATTAAACTGTCCCTCTTTGCAGGTGACATAATCTTCCATACTGAAAACCCTAAAGACTAAACAAAAACTACTACAATAATAAACAAAATACAGTCAATTTTCAGGGTACAAAATCATATAATGATCAGTAACATTTATATACACTAAATATAAACTATATGAAAAAGATATTTAAAAATCTTATTTACAATGGCTAAATAAATCAATGAAAGGCTCTGGAATAAATTCACCCAAGGAAGTGAAATACCTGTACACTGAAAATACAGATGAAAAAAAATGAAGAAGATACAAATAAATGGAAAGATATCCTGTGTTCATAGACTGGAAGAATTACTATTCTTAAAATGTTCATACTATGTAAAGTTATCTACAGAATCAATGCAAACCCTATCCAAATTCCAATGACACTTTCATAGAAATAGAAAAAGAATTCCAAAATATACATAGAACAATCCATATTCTTTGAATAGCCAAAGAAATCTTGAGCAAAAAGACTGAAACTAGAGACATTATACTACCTAAATTCAAAATATACTACAAAGCTATAGTAATCAAAATAGCATGATACTACCATAAAAACAGACTCATAGACCAATGGAGCAGAATAGAGAACCCAGAATAAACTCACACATTTACATTCAATTGACTTTTGACAAAGTTGCCAAGAACACACAATGGGAAAAGGACACCCTCTTCAATAAATGATGCTGAAACCCTGAATATTCACTTACTGAAGAATGAAATTGGATGTTTATCTCACACTGTTTACAAAAATCAATCCCAAATGGATTAAAGACATAAATGCAAGGCCTGAAGCTGTAAAACTAACAAGAAAATGGGAAAAAGCTCCATGACTTTGGTCTGAGCAGTAATTTTTTGGAAATGCACCCAAAAGTGAAGGCAAGAATGCAAAAATAGACAAATGAGTTTATATAAAGCTAAAAAGCTTCTACAAAGGAAAAAAATAGAGAGAAGAGATAATCTACAGAATTGGAGAAAATATTTGTAAACCATACCTGTGATAAGGGGTTGATACCTAAAATATATGAGAAAAACACAATCAATGACAATATAATAAATAACTTTATTACAAAATGGGAAAAGCATCTGAATATATATTTCTCAAGAGAAGACAAACAAATATACAGTAGGTACATAAAAATGCTCAAATCACTAATTATCAGATAAATGCAAACTAAAACCATATCACCTCACACACACTTGTTGCAATGGCTACTGTATTAGTCCATTCTCACACTGCTATGAAGAAATAGCCAAAGCTGGGTAATTTATGAAGAAAAGAGGTTTAGTTGACTCACAGTTATGCATGGCTGGGGAGGCCTAAGGAAACTTACAATTATGGCAGTAGGTAAAGAGGAAGAAAGGCACTTTCTTCACAGGGTGGCAAGAAGGAGAAGTGTTGAGCAAAGGTGTAAAGAGCCACTTATAAAACCATCAGATCAACTGGGTGCAGTGGCTCATGTTTTTAATCTGAGCATTTTGGGAGGCCAAGATGGGTGGATCACCTGAGGTCAGGAGTTCAAGACCAGCCTGGCCAACATGGTAAACCCCATCTCTACTGAAAATACAAAAATTATCCAGGCGTGGTGGCAGGTGCCTGTAATCCCAGCTGCATGGGAGGCTGAAGCATGAGAATTGCATGAACCTGGGAGACAGAGGTTGCAGTGAGCCTAGATTGCACTACTGCACTCCAACCTGGTGACAGAGCAAGACTCTGTCTTAACAAACCAACCAACAGACAAAAAACCATCAGATCTCATGAGAACTCATTCACCGTCACAAGAACAGCATGGAGGTAACTGCCCCCGTGATTCAATTAACTCCCATTGGGTCCCTCTCATGACATGTGGGGATTAAGGGCACTACAATTCAAGATGAGATTTGTGTGGGGAAACAAAGCCTAACCATATCGTTCCACCCCTGGTTCCTCCCAAATCTCATGTCCTCACATTTCAAAACATAATCATGCCTTTCCAACAGTCCCCCAAAATCTTAGGTCATTCCAGCATTAACCAAAAAGTCCAAGTCCAAAGTCTCATCTGAAATAAGGCAAGTCCCTCCCACCTATGAGCCTGTAAAATCAAAAGCAAGTTAGCTACTTCCTAGATAAAATGGAGATACAAGCATTGGGTAAACACACCAACTCTAAATGGGAGAAATTGGCCAAAACAAAGAGGCTACAGGCCCCATGCAAATCCAAAATCCAATAGGGAAGCCATTAAACCATAAAGTTCCCAAATGTTTTCCTTTGACTCCCTGTCTCACATCCAGGTCACACTGATGCAAGAGGTGGGCTCCCACAGCTATGGGATGCTCCACCCCTGTGGCTTTGCAGGGTACAGCCCCCCTTCCTGGCTGCTTCCACAGGCTGACATTGAGTGTCTGTGGCTTTTTCAGGCACACAGTGCAAGTTGGTGGATCTACCATTCTGGGGGCTGGAGGATGGTGGCCCTGTTCTCACAGCTCCACTAGGCAGTACTCCAGTGGGGACTCTGTGTGAGGTCTTCAATCCTACATTTCCCTTCCACACTGCCCCAGCAGAGGTTCTCCATGAGGGCGCCACTCCTGCAACAAACTTCTGCCTGGACATCCAGGCATTTCCATACATCCTCTGAAATCTAGGTGGGGGCTCCCAAACTTTATTTCCTGAATTCTGTGTGCTCGCAGACCCAACAGCACATGTAAGCTGCCAAGACTTGGGGCTTGCAACCTCTGAAGCAATGACCAGAGCTGCACTTTGCCCCTTTTAGCCACAGCTGGAGCTGAAGCAGCTAGGACTCAGAGAACCATGTCCCAAGGCTGCACAGAGATGGGGAGCCCTGAGCCCTACCCACAATATTGTTTTTCCCTTTTTAGGTTGTGTTGGGAGTGGCAGGTGTGAAGGTCTCTGACATGCCCTGGAGACATTTCCCCCCATGTCTTGGCTATTAACATTCGGTTCCTGGTTACTTATGCAAATTTCTGCAGCCAACTTGAATTTCTCCCTAGAAAATGGGTCTTTGTTTTCTACCGCATCACCAGGCTGCAAATTTTTCAAGGTTTATGCTCTGCTTCCTCTTGAATGCTTTGCCACTTAGAAATTTCTTCTACCAGATATCCTAAATCATCTATCTCAATTTCAAAGTTTTACAGATCTCTAGGGCAGGGGCAAAATGCTGCCAGCCTCTTTGCTAGACTATAGCAAGGGTCACCTTTATTCTAGTTCCCAAGAAGTTTCTCATCTTCATCTGAGATCACCTCAGTCTGGACTTCATTGTCCATATCACTCTCAGCATTTTGGTCAAAGCCATTTAACAAGTCTCTAGGAAGTTCCAAACTTTCTCACATTTTCATGTCTTCTTCTGAGCCCTCCAAACTGTTTCAACCTCTGCCTCTTACCCAGTTCCAAAGCCACTTCCACATTTTTGGGTATCTACCACAGCGCCTCACTACTCCTGTTACCAATTTACTATATCAGTCCATTCTCAAGCTGCTATGAAGAAATACCCAAGACTAGGTAATTTATTAAAAAAAAAAAAAGTGGTTTAATTGACTCATAGTTCTGCCTGGCTAGGAAGCCCTTAGGAAACTAGCAATCATGGCAGAAGGCAAAGGGGAATAAAAGCACCTTCTTCTCAGTGCAGCAGGAAGGAGAAGTGCTGAGCAAAAGGGGAAATAGTCCCTTATAAACCATCAGATCTCATGAGAACTCACTCACTATCACAAGAACAGCATGGGGGTAACTGTCCCCATGATTCGATTACCTCCCGCTGGGTCCCTCCCATGATATGTAGGGATTATGGGAACAACAATTCAAGATGAGATTTGGGTAGGGACACAAAGCCTAATCATTTCAGCTAGTATAAAAAATAAAATAAAATAAAAGTGTTTGGATAGGATGTAGAGAATAGAGAACTTTTGCACACTATAGCTGGGAATATAAATTTATACAGCCGTTATGGAATACAGTGTGAAAGTTTCTAAAAAAATTAAAAATAGAGCTACAGTCCCAATTCTGTAATATATCCAAAGGAAATGAAGTCAGTAGGTCAAAGAGATACCTGCACTTTCATGTTCATTGCAGCATTATTCGTAATAGCCAATCTATGGAATAAACCTAAGTGTCTAACAACAATTGAATGATAAATAAAGGTGGTATACATACACAATGGAATATCCTTTAGCCATAACAAAGAAGGAAATTCTGCCAATTGTGACAGTGTTAATGACCTTGGTAGCCATTATGCTAAGTAAAATAAACCAGGCACAGGAAGACATATACTTCATGATCTCCCTTACATATGGAATTTGAAAATGTGGAACTCATGTAAATAAGTAGCAGAATGCAGGTTACTTGGGGCTGGAGGGGCAGGGAGTTGGTGAGATGTTGGATAAAGAATATAAAATTTCAGTTAGATAGAAGGAATAAGTTTGCAAGACCTATTGTACAACATGGTGCCTATAGTTAACAAAATGTGTTGTATTCTTGAAAACTGCTAATCAAGTAGATTTTAAGTGTTCTCACCACCCCCCCCTCAAAAAACTGATAAGCATGCAAGGTAATGCATATGTTAATTAGATTGATTTAGTCATTTCACAATGTAGAAATATTTCATAACAAAATTTTGTACATGATAAGTATATAATTTGTATTAGTCAGTTTAAATAAATGTTTATTGGAGAGCAAACGACTTCACAGGCATGACTTATATGCAATCAATGGAAATTAATAAAACAGTAAGGCTAAAGAATTAATGGAACTAGAGGATTTAGCAGTAAGATAATCAAGAAAATCAAGAATGCTAAAAAAAAAAAAAAAGAATATGAATGCAGCCCTTAGAAGTGTACGGCTATAGCTATTAGGAAGGAAGCAAGTAATAGTGTATGACTCTGGCAGAGCCAGACCAAAGTTTCCAGATATGCTTGGTGTTATGTTGGCCTAAAGTCATTGTGGGTGGAACATTGAATGCAGTTAAAGTTTTAAAAGCACATAGCAATAATGTCTGTCCGATTGGCTTCAATGAAGTTTGACCAGAGCTTTTGCCCTCTGAAGCACTCGAATTATTTCATGAGTCCAGAGATGGTGGTGGGATGCTGAAGCTAGGTAAAACTCCAGTACCTAAGGATGCCATTATTACAAAGCAAAACTCTTATTAATTCACTTATTTATTTATAACACATCTATTCCTAAAAGGCTAATTTAAGATACATTGATTATTCCTTTATTTAGTGTGCTATATTCATTGTTTTACCTTTGTTATAATTGTAAAAATTATAACTTTCTAATAGTTTCACTCACTTGTCAGATTCCCAGTCTTATTTTTTTTACAAGATTTGAAGTATTTCAATTGCCTGAGAATTTTAGAAATATATCCAAAGTTAGCAGTAGAATACTATATATGGCAATGTCTTTCAGAAAGCACCAAACACATCAAATACTGTGAAGTATTGTTATCTATTAGAAATAAAAATAGATATTCCAACATAAAAGCTATGTTTGTTGAGAAGATCTCTGACTGCTTTCAGCTATACAATTCATAGACAGCTCCAGTGTGAGGAATATTTGGAGATGCCCTTCTTTACTGTCAATGGGTAGCACAGCACTATGACATGAGCGTAGACACTGGGCTAGGAGGCAGAAGTCCAGTGACACAGTACATAATATGGCAGATAATAGTACCTGAAATAGGATATGGTAATTCCAAAACTTTCAAACACCTGTTTTTATATCAATTTGGAAACAAAATATAAAATGAGAAGGAAAGAAGTCTATGGGAGTTGGTCAATTTCTTCGATGACAATGCTTTTTAGAATTTTATTATATTTCTTCTTTACTCTGATATTGTCTAAGTCCCTAACAAGAAAATTTGTTTGATACAGCTTTGGTTGTTGATCCAAGAGCATTGATGTAAAGCAAAAATTTTTCACTGGCTCAAATTTCTGATCGAAGAAGCAGCACCTATTTTATAATAATGAAAAACAATGCCATTAAGGGTCCATATTATGCCTAAATATAATTTCCCAGTAAAAGAGACTATGGCTTTTTTTTAGATAAATGGCTGATTTTAGGGCTGGAGCAGGAAATATGCAAGATGAGACAGTAAAGTACCATTTCAGAGAGCAAGAGATTATGCCCAAAGCATTCATATGAAGAGGCGCTCACTAAATACAAATGGGACAATTAGATCATCAATAAAGATAATCACCAGAATAGATTGCATTGCATCAGATATGCTTAGATCTGTAGGTATGTAGTGATACTAAAATATTAACTAATAGTTCAGTGTTAAACCAAGTGAGCAAACTGACCCATTAACTTCAAAATTGTAAAGAGAGAAAGAATCAAGCATATACAAATCGCTGTTAACATCACAAAAAGAGAGACAAACCAAATCTGTGTCTCTGGGTAATAGAAGAGAACCCTACTTCTGAAGTAGTCATTTTAAAAATGAAGAAAATTTAAACTGGACATGAATTTAATGCATTCAATAAACCCTAGATGGTGAACAATTTCAATGACTTACTACTCTATTTTTTAACAAATAAATTTCACAGGGGGAAAAAGAGACAGGTGATGTGCCACTAAACTAAAGAGGCTTAATCAGTTGCAATATGTGCACCTTTCAAGCTTGTGTAGGTTGCATGACGTAGCACAGGTGAGGATGCCTCCTACTGTTCCTAACACATAGAGAGGGGTCTACAATTATTATTTCTTCAGATAGAAAAAGGGAAACTCTGTTTTCAGCTTTTGAAGGATTGGAAGGTAACTGAATATTGTAAAATCTTATTAACTAATTTTGTAGAATTTTTTTTTAGAGTGTGCGAATATTGTTTGACTTTTCTCTAAAATTTGTTTTTAGTTCCTAACATTTTTGGGGTGTTGAAAATATTTTAGATAGACAGTATCCTGAATTTAGCAAAACAGGTCACTTTTCTCACAACACACTGGAAGGAGTATGAAAATGGATAGCATCAGACTTTTCCTGAAGAAACTGTCTACAGATTCAAAGGTTAATCTCATTCAGAAACAGCTTCACAGACATACCCAGAATAATGTTTTACTCAAATATCTGGATACTCCATGGTCCAATGAGGTTGACACATAAAATTAACCATCACATCTTCCTTGTTCTTTCCCATTTTCTTATACCTGGTGCTCCAGTGTCTGTTGAGCTATCTGATAGCTCAACCAAAATAAATTTAATTTTGGTTTAAGATCATCAAAGCCACATCCTTCATTACATTATTATTATTTATCTTATTATTTATCATCACCAGAAGTTACAGGTCTAGAAGTTATTTCCAACTTTGGGTGGTTTATTGACGCCTAAGACATACATTAATCCTCCTGAGTAGTTTCTGCTATCCATCACATGAAGATTTCTTGGTATGTGCAGATTTCAGATATGTGGCATCATTAAATAATTCACTTTAATAAGTCTACACATGAAAGGTGTAAGAAAGTGAGTCTTCAGTCATGAGTTCATTCCCTTTATTTGCCCTGTGAAGGCCTGTTCTGAGAGGCTGTGTGAATTAGTCCATTTTCATGATGCTGATAAAGACATACCTGAGACTGGGAAGAAAAAGAGGTTTAATTGGACTTACAGTTCCACATGGCTGGGGAGGCCTCAGAATCATGGTGGTAGATGAAAGACACTTCTTACATGGTGGCAGGCAAGAGAAAAATGAGGAAGAAGCAAAAGTAGAAACCCCTGATAAACTCATTAGATCTTGTGAGACTTATTCACAACAACAAAAATAGCATGGGAGAGACCGGCCCCTATGATTCAGTTACCTCCCCCTGGGTCCCTTCCACAAAATGTGGGAATTCTACGAGATACAATTCAAGTTGAGATTTGGGTGGGGACACAGCCAAACCATGCCATTCCACCCCTGGCCCCTCCAACTCTCATGTCCTCACATTTCAAATTCAATCATGTCTTCCCAAAAGTCCCCCAAAGTCCACAGTCCAAAGTCTCATCTGAGACAAGGCAATTCCCTTCTGCCTATGAGCCTGCAACATCAAAAACAAGCTAGTTACTTCTTAGATACAATGGGGGTACAGGTTTTGAGTAAATACAGCCATTCCAAATGCGAGAAATTGGCCAAAACAAAGAGGTTACAGGGCCCACGCAACTCTGAAATCCAGTGGGGCAGTCAAATTTTAAAGCTCCAAAATGATCTCCTTTGACTCCAGATCTTACATCCAGGTCATGCTGATACAAAAGGTGGGTTCCTATGGTCTTGGGCAGATTGACCCTAGTGGCTTTGCAGGGTACAGCCTCTGTCCTGGCTGCTATCAAGAGCTGGTGTTGAGTGCCTGCTGCTTTTCCAAGTGCATGATGCAAGCTCTGAGTGGGTCTACCATTCTGGGGTCTGGAGGACAATAGCCCTCTTTTCACAGCTCCACTAGGCAGTGCCCCAGTAGGGACTCTCTGTGGGGGCTCCAACCCTACATTTCTCTTCTGCACTGCCCTAGCAAAAGTTCTCCATGAGGGGCCCACCCCAGCAGCCAACTTTTGCCTGGGCATCCAGGCATTTCCATACATCTTCTGAAATCTAGGTGGAGGTTCCCAAACCTCAGTTCTTGGCTTCTGTGCACCTGCAGGCTCAATACCACATGGAAGCTGCCAAGGCTTGGGGCTTCCACCCTCTGAAGCCACAGCCCAGGCTCTATGTTGGCTCCTTTCAGCCATGGCTAGATCAACTGGGTCACAGGACACAAAGTCCCTAGGCTGCACACAGCATGGGGACCCTGAGCCTGACCCAGGAGACCAATTTTTCCTCCTGGGCTTCTGGGCCTGTGATGGGAGGGGCTTCTGTGAAGGTCTCTGACATAGCCTGGAGACATTTTCCCCATGGTCTTGTGGATTAACATTAAGCTTCTTGCTACTTATGCAAATTGCTGCATCTGGCTTGAATTCTCCCCAGAAAATGGGTTTTTCTTTTCTATCACGTAGTCAGACTGCAAATTTTCTGAACTTTCATGCTCTGTTTCCCTTTTAAAATTGAATGCTTTTAACAGCACCCAAGTCACCTCTTGAATGCTTTGCTGCTTAGAAATTTCTTCTGCCAGGTACCCTAAATTATCTATTTCAAGTTCAAAGTTCCACAAATCTCTAGGGCAGGGGCAAAATGCTGCTAGTCTCTTCGCTAAAGCATAACAATAGTCAACTTTGCTCCAGTTCCCAACAAGTTCCTCATCTCCATTTGAGACCACCTCAGCCTGGACCTTATTATTTATATCATGATCAGCATTTTTGTCAAAGCCATTCAACAAATCTCTAGGAGGTTCCAAACTTTCCCACATTCTCCTATCTTCTTCTGAGCCCTCCAAACTGTTCCAACCTCTGCCTTTTACCTAATTCCAAAGTCACTTCCACATTTTTGGATATCTTTTTAGCAACACCCCACTCTACTGTTACCAATTTACTGTGTTAGTCTGTTTTCACGTTGCTGATAAAGAATACCCAAGACTGCGAAGAAAAAGAGGTTTAATTGGACTTATAGTTCCACATGGCTGGGGAGGCCTCAGAATCATGGTGAGAAATGAGAAGCACTTCTTACATGGTGGCGGCAAGAGAAAAATGAGGAAGAAGCAAAAGTGGAAACCCCTGATAAACCCATTAGATCTCGTGATACTTATTCACTGTCATGAGAATAGCATGGAAAAGACCAGCCTCCATCATTCAATTACCTTCCCCTGGGTCCCTCCCACAACATGTGGGAATTCAGGGAGGTACAATTTAAGTTGAGATTTGGTTGGACACAGAGCCAAACCATATCACTGTGGCTTCATACCAACTCTCCAGAAACATCTCATGTGGATACATAGCCAACCGTGTAGTCTATGAAGTCATGGCCATCTCTGCAATACACAATCTTGTATTTATTTTCCCACTTTTTCTCTTTTTTACCCCATTTATCCTTATTTTGTTGCTCTGTGACTGTACTCTTCATCCTAATAAAGCATTTGCATGTGGGCTGTGCTTCAAGCTTGATTTCTAGGGAGCCAAAATTTAAAACATAGTGAATTGTTGTCTTTGCAAGATTGTATTGGTAGTATCCATAGTTTACTTTAAATATATTCATATATCCAGTAATTTAGACCTCATAATGAGGTTGCATAATGAAACTCTTTGTGTATAAGAACTTTGATGTCTCAGTTTTAATTGAATAGCATTCTCAGGAAGAAAAGTGACATATTGGTCTTAAAATGAATTTTTATTTTAATTTAGTAAAGAACTTTACTAAATTTGTAATATTGAGTAAGGAAATACATACTGAATAAATATTAAATAAATAAATATTTGTTTATGTTTAAATTTTTCGTTTCCAGCATAATTTTGCACACCCTGCCTATAGAATTCTCTAGAGTTCTTATTTGCTTGTATTGGTAACAGCAAGTGATATGCCAGTAAAAAGCTTGGTTCAAACTTTAATAATAAAACATTTATTTCATTAGAACCATCATCTACAAATGAGAAGTAGTTTGGTTTATTTTATCTTAACATGCCATTTGCCAGTACTAGCATTTACTTCTATTAATACTGTAAGTAAACAAATAAATATATAGAAGCCCCAGACTTCATTAGATAGGTACACCAAGGCTATGCACAATTCTGGAGGACCTATGATTTGACATAAAATTATACTACTAAAGAGAGCAAACACAGCATAAACTTTCTGCAAAGCAATTTGGCTGTGTGTAGTAAGAGCTTGAACCTATTTATCTAATTTTTACTTTAAAATGTTTGTCTACATTTCACTTCTAATTAAATAGCAAAATACTATAATAAAAATTATGTTCAAGTTTTATTTATAACTAAATGTACTTGAAAATATTCTATACTTTCTCTCTATATATATTTTTACAATAAGCCCATTATGGATTGAATCGTGTCTCCGCAAAGAGGTATGCTGAAATCCTAACCTCTAGCACCTGTGATTGTGACTATTTGGAAATGGGGTTTTGTGGATGTAATCAGGTTATGATGAAGATATTAAAGTGGGCCTTAATGTAATCTGACTGGTGTCCTTTTAAGAATAGAAGTCAAAGAGGGTCAGAGGGGAGATTGCCATGCGAAGACAGGGCAGAGATTGGAGTTAGGCTGCCACAAGCCCAGAAATGTCCAAGGTTACCAGAAGCTGGGAGAGAGAAAGAATGATTCTCCCCCAGAGGTTTCTGAGGGAGCCTGGCCCTCCATTGATTGATTGTAGACTTCCATTATCTAGAACTGTGAGAGAGTAAATTTCTACTGTTTTAAGCTACTCAGTTTGTGATAATTTTTATAGTAGGAAAAAAAGAACCTTTAATAATTTTTAAAAATCTGTTAACAGTAACTATATCTGGGTTCCTTTGGTATGGTAGTTCTCAGCCTATGCCTATAAAAAAAATCTCAGTCAGAATCTTTTTTTATAACAAATATTTTATAACTCCCTTTTTACTACCCTAAAATGAAAATCATACATAATGTAACTTACGTACGTAATTTCCAAAATACCGATATTATACCATGATTGTAAGCTAATCAATATACAATATTAATTTTTAATAAAACAATATATATTTCAATCTAAATGTTTTGACAAGACTTCATTAGAAGACATAGTGAAAGAGTCCATTGTTTGCACCTACATATAGAATCACCTTGAGTGAAGCACATAGGTTCACACAGGTTTTGTTTTGATTGTTTTGTACTAACAAATCTAATACCCCAAGCAGTGTTACTGTTTGTATTACAATTTTCTGAAATAATTAACAATTTTGTTGATTTCCAACTAAGTGCAATCACTCCTTACTTTTTTTTTTTGGGGTAACTGCATCTTTTACTTGATGAAACCAGCAAAATTATCAAACCTCTGATTAGTTGTCACTTTCTCCCTTGAAATCATTAACATTGAGTCACAATTATTCCTTTCTTGTATTCCCTTATATGTGAGTCTGTCCATTTTTATACATGGATACATATTGTAAAGGTACAGCCTGATGCTGAAAATGCTCTGGTAAAAAGGTATCCAGGGCATTTTGTTCAGTAATAGTGAGATCCCACTTTTGCAAATATGGCAGACCCCTGTTAGGTATGTGAGATGTGTAGGAAGCAGGCCTCTGCCCTGGGGAGCTTTAAATTGATAATATTGACAAGGGGGTATTCTGTGAATTTGCATTATAAGTGTAGAAGTCTTCTGGGAAGAAAATAACCAATCTTCTTTGACGCCATTTCCCTAGGATTTAGCATGAGAGTGATTCATGATAAATGGGTGGTTGGGTGGTCCTGGCCAAAGCCATTGGTAGGAAAAGGCCATGGAACATTAAAGATTAAGTAACCACAAACACAGAGAAAAACAAAATCAGTGTGCTAAACATGGCATTGAATTAGAGAGAAAGACAGCTGAATAGTGTTTCGAATGGAGCAAATACCTCACATTACTCTCCTTCAGACCCTCCCAAGTTCATTTTATGCCCTGGGAAATAGTAGTGTTTGTGAACTCCATAGTGATTTGGTAATTTAGCAATCTCCAAAAGCTGTGATACATGAGGCCCTTTGTGTAAAAGGATTGCCCTGATGTCTAGCAGGATGTGTCTATCACAGCCTGAATCTCGGTAAAGGAACTGAGAAAATCTTGACTTTTCGAGTCCAGAACCTGGTTCCATTTTCAGGGATCACTCTTCATCAGAGTAAACCAAACCCTTTTGAAAAACTGTCGGCACCATTGTATTATGCTACTGGTAACACCAGTGGTCAGGATTTGAGCAATGGGTCAAGAACAACTTCCGTACAGGATACAGTCACCTCTCTGTAGTTAAACCAAATGAGAGAGACATTTCTCCCTATCCTGATTATTGATAACTACACAGGCAGGGGTGGGTGGAGGTTTCAGTACATATAAAGAGGATAAGAAATAAACTCTGGAAAGGTTAAGATTTCCAGCTAGTATCAAATGGTGGGATCCCTGGGACTTGATCAGTCCCTGTTTTGGTTGTTAAATTATCAATATCCCTATTTATTTAAATTTTTAAATTCTAGTTCCCTTCTTTTGCCTTTTGTTTATTCCCATTTTTTACATTCTTTTGTATAAAAAAGATGTTTAATTTTGTTTTAGTCTATATAGTACTCAAACTTCCCCATTCCTCTCTTTTTAATTATTTTAACATCTGCGTAACTTTGACATTTTAGCAGCCAACAACAGTGTGCTAAACTTTGAAGTAACAGTAATAATAGCTAATACTTAGTGAGCACTTAGTATGGAAGGGTGCTATGGTGAGTCCTTCACATAAGCCATCTCATTTAATCCTCATAAAAATGAAGAAGATGAGACTTAGAGTTTTAAACTTGCTCTTAGCAACAGTTGGTAGTGAAACCGGTATTAAACTCAGATATATTCAATTCTGAAATCATACTTATAATCATTTATATTGTACTGCTGACTTAAGCTTAAAAATCTAATAGAAAGAATGAGAATGAAGTTGGAGAACAGAGTTCTAGTCCTAAATCTACTATTATTTAACTCTGTTTCTTTAATGTTTTCATCAAAAGACGGGATGCCATGATTTTCAAACGATGTTCAGGAAAATCCTAGAATTTGTACAGTTCTCTGGGATGGAGAATTAAACAGGCTGACACAAACTGACACAGTGAAGCTCCACGACTTTAAACTACTTTGCATATTAGGATTTCAAATAAGATTTTGTTCTATTCCTTAAAAGAGATTTGAAATCACTAGAAAATCTGGAAATCCACATCTAGGTTAAATCATGAATTATTTCACACAAAGTGGTTCTAGGTGGCCTTAGATAAATATTGCTGAACTAATACTCTATTTCCTTTAATGTTCTGGCTCCTTTCTTAAAAGCTTGTGATACTTAACTGCTTTCAAAAAGTTAGTTGGACTTAACTTTGGATGAGATAAAAGATTATTTTTAATTAAGATGTTTAATCCTTACTAAGGGAAGCCAAGGCACTGACTCACTGACTTATCGTTTCACACATTCAAAATTTTAATCACAGTGTCTTTTTTTCTTTGTAAATATTTGCTAAAAGAGGTCAATGACAAATTGTCCTTGGCATTTTACTTTTAAATTTCTGGTTATTGAATAAACCATTAAGAAAATGTTAAGTATCAATTAAAAATTATGTTTGACTATTACCAGTTCCCAAAAGTTTATTTAAAAATGTTTAAAGTGATTTGGTATTTTAAGACATCTTAATTTCTGATAAATTAATTATTTACTATATTGTTTTATTTGATCAATCATTAGATCAATAATATTAGACTAATTCAGCAATAACCAAACTAATAAAAAAAGAGTCAAACCCTGCTATTAACATGATTTTAAATTCTAGCTAAGATGAATAAACAGTCCTAATCTTTTAAATGTAGTTTGAACATTTTACCATGGTGTGCTTTGTGGACCACCAAGTTTCCATTTTCTTTAAAGAGTGAAAATAAATCTATAGAGACGCTACTTGATTTTTGCCAGAATTCCAGGTCTAATATAAATTAGGAACAGCTACATAATTGAAGATTTCGGTATTATTTTAAGAGAGACTATTTTCTGGCAAACAAATTGTTACCAAATCTAAACAATGGTCTAAGAATCTTCAAATTGTAAACTATCGCATTAGAAAAATCATACATTTTATGAGGCTTATATGATTTTTGGAAGGATATCTAACATCTCCAGTTTATGAAACATAAGCCAGGAAAGAATATATTCTATTTAGGTCAATGGCTATAAAACTTAATATCCCACAAAAATTTTGCAAGTATTTTATTCCTATTTTCAATTTAAAAATAAGAAATTAAAAGAGCAAAGACATAGCAATAAATTTAACTTACAGAAAATTTACTAATTTGAAAAGCAATACATCTATGAATCCATTTCCCTATACTAGAAACAGATATTTTTATTTTCAAGAAAGGAACACAGATGATGTAATAACTACCATCGCATAAAATTTATTTTATAATTCATCATGCCAATAAAAAATAATGAAAAGATACTTAAGAAATCTGTGCTTTAAGTCAGTAAGTGTTACTGGATTCTAAAAAAAATTACAGCTTTATTACTTGGTACTTAACATTATTAGAAGAACTGAGCAGGGCTGGGTAATAATATTGTTATTTATTTTATTCATGCATTTTTTAATTTTAGTGTGCTTTGGGTCTGGAAATTATTTTTGAATTGTATTCTCAAATTGATTTAACTGATTTAAAATATTATAATATAATTTGTTACTTTACTATTACCAGACTCTCTTTTGTCAATATATTTGGTTTTAACCAGTACTAGGAATTATTTATAACTGGAAATTGAAATACATAGGTGTGAAACTTAGAGATCTCAGATTTTAATAAAAAATAACATTTTCAGAATCTCTTTTGTCAATATATTTGGTTTTAACCAGTATTAGGAATTATAATTGGAATTTGAAATAATTAAAATACATTGGTGTGAAACTTAGAGATTTCAGTTCTCAATTTAAAAAATAACATTTTCAAACTTGTTATAAAATAAAGCTCCAAAAGTAATATGATTAAAAATATGATAATATATGTGAAATAATTAGTGTTCATAGAAAGACTAAGGACAAAAACAAAATGGTACTATTAGCAAGATTTTGAGCTATAACTTTTTGTTGTTGTTGAGACAGGGCCTTGCTCTGTTGCCCAGACTAGAGTAGTGGCGTGATCACAGCTCACTGCAGCCTCAACCTCCTGGGCTCAAGCAATCCTCCCACCTCAGCCTCCTGAGTAGCTGGGATTACAGGGGCACAACACCACACTGACTAATTTTGTATTATTTGTAGATGTGGGGTCTCACTATGTTGTCCAGGCTGGTCTTTAATTCCTGGGCTCAGGGTCTCCCCCCACCTCAGCCTCCCAAAGTGCTGGGATTGCAAGTGTGAGCCATCACATCTGGCCAGAGCAATAACTTCTTATTCTTTACTTTTTGCCATTAAACATGTATTGTTTCAGCCATTTAAAAATATTTATTCCAAAATATTTACTGATGTACTCCAGCCTGGGCGACACAGTGAGATTCTGTCTCTCTCTCTCTCTCTCTCTCAAGAGCATCTGCTCTGTGCTAGACATTGTTTTAATAATATTTAAGGAAACTGAAAATTCACTATCATTTATTTATACTATAATTTATTTTTAAATTTATGAAAGTCAAATTTCATGCTATTTAAGTTTGATTGAATGATGTCATTTAAATGATGCCAAATCAAGTTACTATCTTCATTTCTTTTAATCTTACATGTACTTATTTTATTGAAGTTTGGTAAGCTTCAAGAAAAAAGTAATTTTATTGTTTTTCACAATGTCCCCTTAAACTGACTCTGTTATCTAATTTTTGTCATGTATTGCAAGCAAATTAGTCTTTTTCCTTATTCTGAAAGATAAACAGTCTCATTTTCAGATAATGATAAATGCACCTCATAAAAATACATAAACTTCAGACTTTTATTTGCCTCCAAATTTCTGATCCCCCAGCTACTGTAGGATACAGGCTAGAAAGGGTCAAACCTGGAAGGTTCTCCACCTTCTTCTGACCCCTTTTTCCCCCTCACAGGCCTGCTTCTGCTTCCACCAGGTCTGCCTCAGAAAGTATGAGGAGGGAGAAAAGGAGAGGGCAAAATTCTATGAGGTTTTCACAGTTATCATCTACTCTTGTTCCATTCTGGGCTGTTGTTTTTTATCAAAGCTCCCATGGAAGTGCTCTTGTGGGTTTGTTTTGAAATGTCCTATAGTGGCCATCATGAGGATATGAGCTTTTCTGGGAATGCAGCTGCTTGCACAATTTCCTCTGAATCTTGCTTCTAGGTTGACCCCTTTTTTGTGGACACCCCTTGCATGCAGTTTTCATGGTTAACGTTTCTTTAGAATGATCCTAAGTCAACATCTGTCCAGAAGATGCAAATACTACTTATAAAAAACATACATATGCTTTTGCCCTATCAACCCCTAAAGTTGAGTCTTTTGCACAAAAACTCTTCCTTCCTGTCACCAAGCAGGGTACTCCAGACAATCCTTCCTTTTATTTTGTTTTCAATGTTAGTAATTTATTAGTTCCCACATTTCCAACATTCTTGGAGACTAGAAAGTTCAAGCTCTCTAAGAGATTCTCTTGAAAGCTCCACATCCCTCCACTTTACTTTAATTTTAGGGGAATACAGTAAGGAAATGTTTAATTTTTAATTGCTTTCAAATTTCTAGAGAGTTCTTTACTTTTTCTTAAGTAGTTGGAAATTATTGGCAGAATCAGTTACAAATTCCTGGACTTGGATAATGGAAGTTGTTAATAAGTATTGGTTTTGTCCTGGTATCTTAACCAAACTGATATTAGAAAATTCTTTTTGTAATATATCATACAGACACATACCACACGTGGACACAAATAATCCCCATAACTTTACCAGTAAAGTAGATAATTTTTAAATGAATAAATTAACAATTGACAGATGGTGACTTCATACATTAATATATTAAAAGGTGGTTTTCACTCAGGCAAATAAGTTGATTGTGAGGATGTGTAAATACATCATTTGGACTGCTAAGAAATTAGTTCAACAATATTTTGATCTGCTAGATAATAGTCATAAAGCAATCATTTTAAAAATTTAATAACTATGTTTAACATATTCAAGACAGAGTTTGTAAAGTTGTTGGATAAATAAAAACTATGCAAAACCCCTAATAATATTAGAAGCCTTTGCTTAACCTAAAAATTCTCAAAACATATTATATTGGAGGTATCAGGAGGTGGTGAGTGGCATTGGGTACTGCAACATAGAAGTGGGAAATCACTTTTCTAATGAAGGCTATTAATCCACAGAAGAGAAAAATAGTGGAACATAAAGTTAAATTACACTTTGAGATTCACTGCCTTTTAGATACCAGAAGAAATTACTTTTAACTACTCTCTTGTCACACTTGTCAGGAGCGCAAACCCAACATATTCATTAGGTGGGATATTATTAAGATAAGGATAGGCCGGGCGCGGTGGCCCATGCCTGTAATCCCAGCACTTTGGGAGGCCGAGGCGGGCGGGTCACGAGGTCAGGATATCAAGACCATCCTGGCTAACACGGTGAAACCCCGTCTCTACTAAAAATACAAAATATTAGCTGGGCTTGGTGGCGGGCACCTGTAGTCCCAGCTACTCGGGAAGCTGAGGCAGGAGAATGGCGTGAACCAGGGAGGCGGAGCTTGCAGTGAGCCGAGATCACGCCACTGCACTCCAGCCTGGGCGACAGAGCGAGACTCTGTCGCAGAAAAAAAAAAAAGAAAAAAAAGATAAAAATAAAATATTGTCTGAGAATCTCATGTTTGGAAGGAATAATTTTTTGTTCTATCACACTAATATCCTTAAGTATATAAACTGTATCTTATTTTGTTTTTCTACATTTCATAAAGTCCATTGCACATAATAGATGCTGCATTAAGTTCTCAGATTTGTCCATTGTCTAGTTCAGCCATCCATCCTGACAGAGCAGGAGCACCTGTCATCTTGGACAAATACCGCCACTTTAAGTCCCGCTCCCTTTCTAGCCTTTGCATTTCAAGGTAATCCCTTCTCTTCTCACGACAAGCAGCCAGAAGGAGCAGACAGTAAAACACAGACGAGACAGCTCGGGGCGCAGAGAGGGGTGAGGGGACAGTCTCTCAGGTAACTGCCAAATTTCACCCTTACACAATGGGCCCCAGTAAAACAGTGGGCCTTAATAAGCACATTCCTTTCCCTTCAGGTGCACTAAGATAGGGAAGCTAAAAGCCGACTCGGGGGGATATGCCTGCGACTGCGGAAAGACGTATGGGAACAGACACACAACTCTCCCTCCCAGATAAGCACAACAAAGAGACACAGAAGCAGTCCAAGCCTCTGATAAACTCTCCCACCCTAAATCCTTAAAAACAATCTGTAAGAGGGTGTGCCAGCTGCCCGTCTCAGGTTTATTTAAAATAAACCTGTCCCTGTTGACTGAAAAGCCATCCTTCGTGTTTCTCTCCTTTTTCTTTAATTCTTACACATCCTTTGTTGAAATTCTCTCTATTCATTCCCTGACAAGTAATCCTCAAGTTTCATAAGCCTCAACATATGTTCGGTGGGAAAACTTCCAAAGACATCACAAACACACAACAAAGCCTCATGATCAATTAATTCTGCACATTCTATATGCTCTGCTTTTTTCTTGAAAATGCACAATATATAGCACATCAAAAACTGAGATCTCTTGAACAATACAATGTATTATTATCTGCTTACCCAAAGTTTTTTCAATTTATTTGGCCATGCAATCCTTTTTCAGATAATACTTTAAAAATCATATAAAACTGGTGTTTGCAGGAGCACACTAGGGGAAACATTGCTTTAACCTAGTCAACATTTCAAGTCACAGGACATTCAGTAACTTCTTTTTTGTTTTTGTTTTTGTTTTTTAGACAGGGTCTCTCTCTGTCATACAGGCTAGAGTGTAGTGACATGATCATGGCTCACTGCAGCCTCAACCTCCTGGACTCAAGTAATCCTCCCACCTCAGCCTCCTGAGTAGCTGGAACCACAGGCACATGCCATCACACCTGGCTTTTTCTTTTTTGGTATTTTTTTTAAATTTATTTTTATTGTTTAAAACAGCTTTATTGAGGAATAGTCTACATATTATAAAAATCATCCGTAATTTCATGTATACAAGTCAATGATTTTTATTAACTTTAATGAGTGGGTCAGACATCACCATAACTAAATTTTAGAACAATTTTATCCTTTAAATAATATCCCTCATGCCTATTAACATTTAATCTTTTTCTCATGCCCATTCCAAGGCAACCATTAATCTACACTCTGTCTTGATTAGCATGCTTTTTATGGACATTTTATATAGATGGAATCATACAATATGTGGTCTCTTGTATCTGGCTTATTTTACTTGGCATGATCTGAGGTTCATCTACAATGTATCATATGTCAGAAGTTCAATCTTTTTTATTGCTGAATAGTATTCTATTATATGTATATACCACAACTTTTTATCTATTCATCAGTTGATGGATATTTGGGTTGTTTCCACTTTTTGGATATTTAAATAATGTTTCCATATTTGTATACAATTATTGTGTGTACATATGTTTTTAATTTTATTGGGTATATATCTAGGAGTGATATTACTGGATCATACTCTAGCTTTAGCTTTTAGAGAAACTGCCAGACTGTTTTCAAAAGTGGCAATGTTAGAGATGTGGTTTCACCACGTTGCCTAGGCTGGTCTGAAACTCCTGAGCTCAAGCAATCCACCAGCATCCACCTCCCAGATGTGAGCCACTGTGCCCAGCCAGTAACTTTTCAATCAGCTCAATTCATTCATATAAGGTTGTTTTGAAAGTCTTCCTTGGGAAGGCCAAAAATTTAATTTCCAGTAAAATGTGGCTATCTTTCCTATCTATATCTCTTGAGCACATCCAGTATAACTTATTATTTTAGAAAATTATGAAACATTGCAAACATCCAAAGAGTTTAGATACTAAGACTTTCTTATCACTAAAATGTAATGTACATTACTATTTTGTCATTTTGTTTCTTTAGATCATTTTTGGGGTAGAAATTAAGAGAAGTAAAATTTTACTAATATAGTTAAAAGCCACACTTAATCCAATCATTATTGCCAATCTCTTTACAGAAAGACCTAATATCTTGCAAAATATGTGTATTTGTGTACAATAGCATGCATTATGTCTATATTTTTGTATTAAAAAATTCATATACATAGCATCTTACTGTGCATATCACTTTTCTCCTTTCAATATTATGTTTCCAACTTGATACATTCAGATCATACATTTCAAAGGCTTCATTTATTCTATTTTATATATATACCATAATTTATTCATTTCTCAAATTTGGCTATTATAAACTGGCAATGTACATTCTTGGTTGTATCTCATTATGCACATACATGATAAATAATTTGGGTACTGGATGGACCCTAGAGGTATAGATAAGAAACAGTAAAATTTTACTAGGAGTCAAATTTTCTGGGTATTTAAGAAAACAAAATATTTATTTCTTTATTTTAATTTACATAAAAGATATATATTTGTCATGTACAACACGTTTTCAAATATGTATACATTGTGGAATGGCTCAATTGAGCTAATGTGTGAATTACTTCACATACTTATTATTTTTCATGATGAAAACACCTAAAATGTACTCTCTTAGCAATTTTCAAGAAAAACTTATTAACTGTAGTCACCATGTTGAAACCCCCATTTAATTGTGAGGGGTAGAACAATAGAAGCCACAAATATAAGTAATAATTTCAAGAAATGGTTATATTAGCCAAAATGGTTCAATTAATACCTATTTTCACATATAATGTTGAACAATTTTTGTTCAGCCATAATGTGTTATTCTTTAGCAAAAACGTTGACACATGTAGTTATAGCCATAATTAGTAACAGCCTATTAAAATACCTTAAGCTAAGAAAATAAGATAGTATTTTTTACATTTTAGTCTTCTTCTTAGTATTTTCCTTTAACATTGATACTTCATTATAGACACAAGTGCTCTCCAAACATTAGCAATGTATATAGTATGTTAGATCTGCCATTCCTTTTCATAAAGAGGTATGGTCATTTAAATCAGAGTATTCACATAAAGTTGAGTTTAAAAAAATAAAACTAAATTTTAATTTGGTAAATATAAACTTTCTTAGAATTTCTAATTTTACATTAAAAAGCCAAATAAAGAGTTATGTAATTTTTCAGATAATAGGGATGCCTAATCAATTTTTTAAAATTATGTGTACTGCATATCTTAGCCCTTGATTTTCTATTTACTGTTTTTAAACTATTTGCAATTACCATTAATCTAGTTTATGCAAAGTTAAAAAGACTTGTCAAAAATGAAAAGAAAATTCTGATATGGAAATCATAGTCCTTGAGTATACAGACTAAAAAACAAACTAACTAAAACCATAATGAAATGTTAACAAAATATATACATTTAAAAAAGAATTGCCATCAGAGAACATAGCGAGTCTTAGACTCTCCAAGAATTGTTTGTGTCACCATCCATTGACCAATTTTAACTGCCAAATTAGGCCAAAATACAGTGCAAATGATCTTTGCTGATTTTTATCAGGCTTTGGCTTGATTAAAATAGTGTTATGTATGATAACAGAGCTAAGAATCTCACAGAGAGAACAGAAGTCTCCTGCATGAGACTGTCAAAGTAATTTGAGATATTTTTTGACTTTGGGTTCTGATCTCCCAGTATTAGATCCTCACTTGTTTTGAATCCTGGTATCTGTACTACGAAATTTAATATGTGGCAGTGTGAAAATTGTGAAATCAAATTCAAGGTCACCAATAGACAATACTACTATAAAACATAGTAAGTTCTGACCAAGGAATAGTCAAATGAAACAAAACATTATCTTCACAACTTTTCTGTAAGTTGGAGCAGAACTTTATAAAGAACACCAATCTTCATCTGAGGACTGAAAAATCCAAAACTGCTGTATTTTTAATAAAACTGTCCCCATGTGATATTACTCTTTGGAAATCTCAAAACTAAGAATGGTCTTGTTTTTCCTATCTGCCATGAATCACCAGAGATATGTTTCATCTTAGAAATTTCACTCTCCAAAGTGAACCTCCTTCTGTAACACACAAACTTGATTTGGAAAACAAACTTAATTGCAAAGCACCAATTTGTCTTCAATATTCATTATCTGTGAGTCTTTATTACTGTCCTAGAAAATTATATAACAATTTTCTTTTAATTATCTTCCTGAGGATACACCTCATTTCCTGATGACAATTGGAAAACATCCAAATGGCGACCAGCCATAATTATGATATGTTACTTAATCAGAAGCTTCAGTAGCTATTCACAGTCACTATGTTTATTAACTTCAGTTTCAAATCATGACATTATTCTAAACTTGTTCATAAAGTATTAAGACATACCATAGATATGTAAAATTTGATGAATTTATTTAAGGGTTTTGTAAAAAATTGTTTTGTAAAATTGTCTTTCATTGACTCCGGTTATGTGGAATAATTAATATATACATAAAATATACACACATAGATATAAGGAAGGAGTCAGGTATTTTTATTCTTATAAAATGTGTTATGGTAAACAAACATGTAATTGGTTCAAGAAGAAAGGCCTCCGCCAGACACTGAAGATTTCTGTGACAGAAAAGAAATACAAAAGGAATGATGGATAAGAAAAGTGATAGGACATTTAGAAAAAGAAAATAAGGGCTCATGCCTGTAATCCCAGCACTTTGGAACCAACCCAAATGTCCAACAATGATAGACTGGATTAAGAAAATGTGGCACATATACACCATGGAATACTATGCAGCCATAAAAAATGATGAGTTCATGTCCTTTGTAGGGACATGGATGAAATTGGAAATCATTCTCAGTAAACTATCGCAAGAACAAAAAACCAAACACCGCATATTCTCACTCACAGGTGGGAATTGAACAATGAGAACACACGGACACAGGAAGGGGAACATCACACTCTGGGGCCTGTCGTGGGGTGGGGGAAGGGGGAGGGATAGCATTGGGAGATATACCTAATGCTAGATGACGAGTTAGTGGGTGCAGCACACCAGCATGGCACATGTATACATATGTAAGTAACCTGCACATTGTGCACATGTACCCTAAAACTTAAAGTATAATAATAAAAAAAAATAATTTAAAAAAACATAAAAAAAAAAAAGAAAAGAAAATAAGGATTTCTCCTCTTTGAGAACCTGGAGATTCTGCATGTGATTGCGGGTTTTGCAAGAAGGGAAAGATGTGGGACGATTGCCCAGAAGCCAACAAAGCACTTTTCAAGTCTTAGAGCATCAAACCGTATTGTTTCTTAGGCTTGTGTATTAGCACACATGGCGTGGTCAAGGAGAAGCCTAGACAGAATTATAGTCACATCTCCGGGAGTCATAAGAAAGATTTTGTCATGCACAAGAGAAAAGGGACATTTTATTATCATTTTTTATACCAAACCCATTTATTGAGTAAGCACTTAATAAATGTGAGCGAGCAGTTCCTATCAATGGTGACGTCATTAAAAAGATTGCTGGATTAAGTGCAGCTATTGGATGCTTCCAGCAGGGGGAAGCAGACCTCTTTATAGTTAGAGTGACTGATTTCAAAGATGGCCCATTTGCAACTAACAATTACCAAGGAGTTGGTTTGTTGATATTCCAGAGTTGAGATCACCAAAACATGACGATACTAGTCTATCTGCTTAATCATCCTTCATCTGTAAACATTTATTCCTTCAAACTGCATTTTTTAAGTAAATCTGATGGAGGCAATAAATATTTTAGAATCACCACATGAAGATACACAAAGTATTTTATATATTATATACATTGGTAAATGGATTACTCTCCTTTAGTCCATAACACAACTTCAATTAATGATTTATATTCTGGACTGCATATTGAATATGGAGGCTAGAATCATAGACTACTAGGCAGGAATCTTCAAAAGTTGAGCATAGTTGCAGACAGGTTGGAAGTGCGAGCCATGCATTCACAACTTTGTATTCCTACTTAGCTATGACTATGCCCTTGATTTTTCTTTGTCCTGTCCAACTGCAAGGAAGAGAGCTAGCAAAGGTTTTCTAATAATATTTATTCAGAATTCTAAACTTATCAACATGCCAACTCAGACAATTGAAACTGCTCCTATGCACATGCCCTTGTCTTGCTCTGCTAGTCTGAGTTTCTCGCAAGGTAAACTGAGAACAGCCAGAATTTCTGGATTTCTTCCAGAAACTCAATCTCTTTGCTTCCAAGTCTGACACCCCAGCTTAAAGTTAGAATTATGAATAAATAAATATTAGTAGCACCTTTTGGAGTCATGATGAACTCATAACACAAAACTCAAACTCTCAAAATTAATTACTTTGTAGTTTCCCAGGTACCTTTCTGTGAACAATGCCTATCATACATCATTTATATATAGAAAATGTTTGTCATTATAATTGTTTTGCTTGCTAATTTGTTCTTTTTGGTTTATAAGGCTGAAAGTTTGGACTCTATTTGAAAAGCAAAAAAACAATGAACAATTTTTTAGGAATAGTGGATGTGCTATTGATACGGAATTTTAAGCTTTATGTGTGTGTATGTATGTGTAAGAGACACACACACACACAGAGAATGTGATATATATACATATATATGTATATATATAATCTTTTGATACCACAAAGTTCAGAGCAAAAATTTTTAGACTGCAGCCAATGGTTTAGATGTCTAAAGGGAGGTAGCACGTCCATATTTGGATGGGAGGTGAGGCAGACATGCTTGAAGATGCAGGGATGATGCGTAGCAATACAGGAGAGGGGATCACACAAAAGCTGAGAGAGGAGGTTTGAGATGAGAGCTGCAGGACTGCTATGTACAGTTATGCACAGTGTCCATTGTACAACTCCGGGAGGACAGTGAATACCAATTCCAGTGAGTTGTGCCCTTGGAATTGTGTGGTATACAATACACAAATCTATTGACCATGTATGGTAGTCTTACACGTGACAAGTGACAAAAAACACAGGAAGCTCCTCAAAAATATTTATGAGGTGGCTGGATTATGTAACATCATGCCTAATAAGAACCTAGAATATTTAGTTTAGATAACAACAGAAAGGATGACCACAGAATACTGGAAATTTCAGAGTGGAGAGATACTCTTATAGTTTAAATAAATATCTTTTAAAAAACCACTGAAAACTTACTTTGCTTATTGCCCTATCAACTAAGCTTTTCCCTTTGTATGCTACTTTGCAATTCTGTGATCAGAACTAATCTTAATTTTCCATTCCCTTGATGAAAAAAATAACCTATTAGTTTCATACGTATTTGTTCCTATTGTCTTTGGATTTCTATGCCATATTCATTTTAATTTTCACTTGAAATAATCTTACATTTGTTATCTTGTCCCCGCACAGCTAAGCCTCCTTCAAGCTATCCCTATTCTCCATCCTAGAGTTTAATCCCGTTAAACATAGATCTCTTGTTACAAAGAGTGCATAGAGAGATGTATACTTTCTTTTCTTTTTTTTTTTTTTTTTGATATGGAGTCTTGCTCTGTCACCCAGGCTGGAATGCTGTGGCACGATCTTGGCTCACTGCAACCTCCACCTCCCAGGTTCAAGCGATTCTCCTGCCTGAGCCTCCTGAGTAGCTGGAACTACAGGCACCATGCCCAGGTAGAGACAGGGTTTCACCGTGTTAGCCAGGATGGTCTCGATCTCCTGACCTCGTGATCCACCCACCTTGGCCTCCCAAAGTGCTGGGATTACAGGCATGATTCACCACGCCCGGCCGAGATGTATACTTTCAATAAGCATTTATTGTGTACTTAACACTATGAGTGGCAAGAAACCACTCTTCCCTGAGTGGTCATGGCTTCGATACAACTTCTTTCTCTCTCTCTTTTATATTAAACAGGAAAATCAGGGCTATTTTTTTCTCATTGAAGTAATTTAAGAGTATTATGCTTCAGCTGCTGAATGAAGAGATCAGTCTATATGATATGATTTTAAAGGAGCCAGAATCACTCAAATCTATGTAAAATGATTAATATATACACCAGTAGTTCGCAGGCTATCTGGTTTTACAAAGTCTCCTAGGTTTTGCGACCGATAAGGGACAATTCACTGGGAAAATTGATTTTACTGATGTATCATATGTTCCTGGATTATTGAGTTCCTACTTACCTGTCAAGACATTGCTGAGGCACCACCTATTCTTTGAAGGAAAAAACGCTAATTACTTCCTTCTTTCATATGTGAACTTCTGTACGTATGCATGTCTTCTCACGGCTCATACCACCTGTTTTGGAAATAAATGTTTACTACACTGTCTGTAAATGACTGGAGGGCAGCAAACTGAGGTTACTCACCACAAGGCTCAGCAAACTCCCAGCAGGTAGAAAGACAGGCAATCACCATTTTCTGAATCAGACTGAGAAGGGACTAAAGAGAAAAGTTGAAGGGAGAAGCAACTACTGACTACTTCCTGCATGCTATTCCTCTGCCAGGTTTTCTTTTGTGGTTATCTTTTAAACTTTCCTATAATTTTCCAACAATTCTGCTAAGAGAATGCCATCCAGAATGGTTCAGAGAGAGAACAATTGGAAGCAGTCTTTTTCATTACCCAGCATGTCTTGTTTTCCAGTATTGTTCAAAATTAGGTCACTGGTGAAATAAGCTAATATTTTCATCTCAGCTGACTCACTTAAAACAAATGTTACTGCGAGTATAGAGGAGAAGAGGAGCAGTGAAGGCAGTTTAGAACACATCAAGACAAGATTATGAATACTTTATATCCTTCACAAGAAAAGCTAACACTGGCAATATTTACATAGACATTTTCTTATTGGACTTAAAATTATACAAGTGGTTACTTTAAAAAATACTTGGTTACTTTTTCTATTATGAATATTTAGTTTAGGCTATTTTTAAGCACCATTAGCACTAGTTGATGGGAGAAAGACAGTGTAATATATACTATAGCTAAACTTCAAGATAACACTACTTACGAATTAACAATAGAAAAAGTATTTTATGACTTTCCCTAGAGGAGATCACGTTACTGCAGTTCCCTGGCACCTCGAATGTGTTACGCTTTATAAGAACCAGCATTGATGATCATCATATAATTGTAGGAAGATGTTTATATATTATAAATAGTGAATGTATTTCAAAACTAAAATCTGGCAATGCTAATAAAGTTTGGGTTGTTACATAGAAATAGGCACTTGCCATTTGTGGCTACCCAAAACATTTTAAATTATTTTCACCCTTATTGTAACAGTTCCCCACATTCTCATGTTGTTAATTATCTTTCCGAAGATAAAATAAAATAAAAATTTTTATTGCCAGTGTATGCACATGTAACTTAAGTCCCACTCAATAAACATACCCATGCAAGAGTTTGAATTGGAGGTGAGTTTTATGGGTGATCAGTGAGATCTTGCTTCTTGCTCCTGGTGTGGGTGGAGGTGGAAGCTGGGTACCTCTGTGCTCAGTGGCCACAGCAGCAGCAGCAGTTTCCTTATCAGGCCAGCTCTGCAATGTTGTTTGAGGACTATTTCTGGGATCTCACCCTTCAGTGTTCCTATAATACTGTGAAGTTTCAAACATCCTTTAATAAATCTATTTGAGCTCAAACTAGGTACAGTAAATTATTCTGTTGTCTGCAAATAAAAAATGCATATCTTATTTTAAGGATTCTACATCTGATGACCTCATAAACCCAAAAACTCATTTTTAGCTTGACTCATGGAGGATCCTTGAAAAACATTTATTGATGATGACGGTGGTAACAAGCATTTGCCAAAACATAATTTAATGGGATATATTTTACTCACAATTTGTGCTCACTTTCTTTTTTCCTCAATAAGAATGTCAATGTTATGTATTTGAATGGCATAGATCTCTATATTGTTAAGAAAGAAGATGCATAAATTATGAAGGTCATCTCTTAAAATTCTGATTTGAAATCCTAACTTAGATATGCTAAGAAATGTGTTTTCTGAAACCTCTGTAAAAATAATAATTACACACTCACAACACATACATATATGAGAAACTTTCTTTTTTCTTATATATCTTTTGGAACTAGTTCAGAGATATTTCTGCAGCCAAATACATCTGTCAGTTTCTTTACTATAAAAAGCAAAATTGCTGAATTTCAGCAAATCATCCCCAGTTAAATGAAAGAAAATAGAGTAAGATGAAGCAGTATAAAAAATATCTCTTATCAGCTGTGAATGCTCCAAGTATTCTTTGTTTTCAATTTTGCACATCTACCCTTAAAAATTACTGTTAAAATTTTCTTTTTTCTGTAATATCAGAGTGGGAAATGATATGACAAAATCAATATTTAATATAACTTTATTCATCTTGCTGTGCTAACAAACTAAACTGCTTAAATCATTTTCTTTGATGTTTTACAATATTAGAATCATAAAGGGCTTAGATTTCATTGGTTTATGAGCAAGCTTGAAATACTTTCCTAACATTTTTCCCCTTTATACCTCAAGGGCACATAATTAAATTGATTACAACCCTTGCTTATGACTTGTTCTCATCATAGATCCATGTTCAACCTTCTTTTAAATATTGCTTACTCTTTTGGTTTTCTCATTTATATAAAATGCTATCTGTGACACTTTTTACCTATGACTTCTGTTTTCCATATTTTTCCAATATGCACTCTTTGCAGAATACCAAACTACTACAGAAGATACAACAGAAATGGGAAACCTAGCCTCAGTCCTTTAGTAAATGACTCACAATCTTTTATGGGGAAAGAACACACTCATCATTAAACAGCAATTTGTAATAAAAATAAGACAGCATATGACTTCTAGGTAAAGTGATTGCTTTCACAAATTAAAACTGCTGGAAGCTTAGAAGAATATTAAATGAGCAGACACACTATTTGAAACCAAGCCTCAATTAACTTGTACAACTCATGGCTGTCCTATTAGCTATATGTTAACATGATGTGCTTTTTATGGATGCCACATCAAATCCAAACTAGCAGATGAATGAGAGATGAATACCATGTTGCTCATTTATTTCCAGGTAAGATTTAGCTGTAGGTCACTCTTTAGAGTTCTTAAGTGACATTTAGTAAATAAGGAAACCTGAACTCTGTAACAAAAACAAAAGTAAATATTCTTCTAGCAAATACATTATGTGGAATTAAAATAAACTCACATTTTACCTTCTACGATTCAGCACTATGGCATATTCTACAATTACATTGGTCATATGCCTATTTTCATATATGCCCCATTGACTCATCTTCCTTATATATAGATATTCATGAACTATTCTTAAGCTAGAAGATTTTTTTATGGGAGAGCTCGTGTGGTCGAAGAGACACTAGATTTAGATGATTAACATTTGGAGTCCTGTTAAGGAGGTAAAAATGGAGCAACAGAAGAACAGATAAAGCGAGGATTAAGTATGAGGGATCCTCATGTTAATAACCAGCTGAAATTGAAAGTAGTAAATGTTTTTAAAAGAAAGTGTATATATGTGTGATGGCTTTCAAAGGCTAACCAAAGGCAAATAGGCATCATTTTTTATTATTCCAGTATATCACTGTATTTGTCTTCTAGGGCTGCCAAAACATAATACCTCAGACTTGGTGGCTTCAACTGCAGAAATTGATTTTCTCACAGTCCAGAGGCTAAAATCCAACACAAGGTGTCTTCAGATTTGGTTTCTTCTGAGGCCACTCTCCTTAGCTTGCAGATGGCTGTCTTATTGCTATGTCCTCATATAGCATGTGTGTGTGCGCATGTGCACTCCTGCTTTCTCTCTGCGTCAGGTTGGATTAGGATATACCCTGATGGCTTCATTTTAATGTAATTATCTTCTTTCTTTTTCTTTTTTCTTTTTCTTTTTTTTTGAAGCAGAGTTTTGCTCTTTTTGCCCAGGCTGGAGTGCAATAGCGCGATCTCGGCTCACTGCAACCTCCACCTCCTGGGTTCTAGTGATTCTCCTGCCTCAGCCTCCCAAGTAGCTGGGATTACAGGCATGTGCCACCAAGCCCGGCTAATTTTGTATTTTTAGGAGAGATGGGGTTTCACCATGTTGGTCAGGCTGTCTTGAACTCCCGACCTCAGGTGATCCACCCACCATGGCCTCCCAAAGTGCTGGGATTACAGATGTGAGCCACTGCGCCCAGCTTAATTAACTCTTTAAAGGCCCCATATCACAAAATAATCACATTCTGAAGTACTAGGGGTTAGGTTTCAACATATACATTGTTTTTCCAGGTGTGGGGGGAGGCAATTCAGCTCATATCAATCACCCTACCTTGACATATCACCCAGATATATTATGAGCCCTACATTTTAATCAAATTGGAAAAACTCAATTTTCCTAAACAAGCCAATATTTTATTGCCTTCTCACTTTTGGAAAATACATTCTTTCTCCATTTTTCTTTGTCATAATTTTACTCATCCTTCAAGAGTCCACTGCTTCATCTGAGGGCATTTTTGATCTACTTGTCTAGAAGTAACCACTTCCCTTGGCTTCCATTAGTCTTTTGTTTGTTCCACTCTTTTAGAACTTTCATCAAATGCCATCTTCTATCAAAATTGATGTACACTTTATTTGCATATGCATACTGGAAGGTATTTTACAGAACTCTTGTCTTATTTTTTTAATGCCTGGCATACAGTGGATACAAATATGGTTTGTTGACTGGTTAAAATCGAATGATGTAAACGTATTAGTTATATTTTTTCTTCAGTCTGTTAACAGTTTTTCCTAATGTTTTCAATTTTATCCAAGTATGATTTGCCATAAAACTCCCCAAGAACTCACACTCCACTTTTAAAGATTGCTTTATTTATAATATTTTAGGAATATCTGAACATATTTCTCTCAGTATTTGGTAGAGAGGGAGACCAAAAAAGCAACAACGATAAATAAGATTGTAAGAACCAATTAGCAAGCTTGATCTAATTCTTTTACATGAAACACTTCACCTCAACATATAGGTACACATTCTTCTGAATCACAAACACAGACCACATGCTGGCCTATAAAGCAAGTCTCAATGGATTTCACAGGATTGGTAGCATGCAGCTAATTTTTCTAGCCACAAATAAATTAAGTCTGATATAAATAGTAAAAATAAATGGAATGCCTAAATTGCTAGAAAATTATAATTTATCAAAACAGGTCATAGAAGAAATACAAGGTTAAATAGTTTTAAAAGCATTACAAAATTTTTAAATGTTTTCTATTCTTAATTTTTATAATTTGAAGTGGTCTTCTTGCTCCCAAACACAGTATCTCTAATTCAGCCTCTAGAATAGGGGGTCATAAATACCTTTAAGTCTCATTACACATAGTGCTCTATGCAAGAATTGTCAACACTATGAAAGAGAATACTAATGAACATCATGAAAATCTAGAAGAATTACATCACTGAAGATGATGTCATTGTTACAGAAAAAGCCATGAAAGCCATCATGCCTGAAACAATAAATTCCTGCTGGAGAAAACTGTGTTTAGATGTTGTGCATGACTTCATAGGAGTGATGACAGAACAAATCAAAGAAATTAGGAAAGAGGTTGTGAATATGCAAAGAAAAAAGGTGGGCGTTGGTGGGTTTAAAGATATGGATCTTGGAGAACATCAAGTGCTGATAGACACTACACCAAAGGAATAAACAAAAGACAGTTTCATGGAAATCAGTGCTTCTGAACCAGTGTCAGATAATGAGGATGAAGGCATAGAAGAATCAATGCCAGAAGACACACCGACTTGAGTCAATCTGGCAGAAGGGTTCTGATTATTTATGGATTATTTCCAATTATTTTATGACATGTACCCTTCAGCAAATGGTGAGAGAAGGATTGGTATTGTATAGAGACATTTTTAGAGAAATGAAAACACAAAAAAGTCAGACAGAAATTACAATGTATTTCTATAAATTTTCACTCTGGGTGCCTGCCTCTCCTGCCTCCCCTTCCACCTCCTCCACTTTGCCCACCTCTGCCACCCCTGAGACAGCAAGACCAACCTCTCCTTTTCCTCCTCCTATTCAATATGAAGATGTCAAGGATGAAAACCTTTATGATTATCCAGTTCCACTCAATCAATAGTAAATATGTTTTCACTTTCTTATGATTTTCTTATTAACATTTTCTTACAGTATTATACATATAACATATAAAATATGTATTAAAAGACTATGTTATCAGTAAGGCTTTTGGTTGACAGTAGACTATTAGTAGTTAACTCTTTGGTGAGTCAAAATTTATATGCAAATTTTCAACTACCCAGGGAGTCAGCACAGCTAACCCCCGCATTGTTCAAGGTTCAACTGTATTTTTACTGTAGAAGTTTTTTATAGTTTTGTAGTGATGTAATATTGTAGTTTTAATCTTTATTTCCCTACTAGGTAATGACGTTGAACATCTTTTCATGTGTTCATTTTCCATTTGTATATCCTATTCCGTGAAATGTCTTTCTATATCTTTTGTTCATGTTCCAATTAGATTTTTTATTGTTGAGTTTTGAAAATTTTGTTTTTCTTTTCTAGATACCAATCATTTGTTAGATATGTTGTTTGCATTATTTTACAGCTTTTCATCTCATCACCTTAACTAGGTCTTTCACAGATAATTTATAAAAATTTTGATGAAGTGCAATTTATTAATTTTTTCTTTTATGGATTATGCTTTTGCTATAGTCTTAAAAATGCTCACCTAGCCCTCAATCCCAAAGATTTTCTCATACTTTTTTTTCTAGAAGTTTTATATTTTACAGTTAAGCCTGTGATCCAATTTATATTGACTCTTGTGTAAGATCAAAGTTCTTAGGTCAAATTTCTCTTTCTTTCTTCCCTCTTCTCCCTCTATGCTTCCTTCCTTTTTTCTTCCTTCTTTCTCTCTCCCCAACCTCCCTTCTTTCCCTTCTTCCCTCCCTTCCCCCATTCCTTTCTCTCTCTCTCTTTCTTCCTTTTCTTTCTCTCTCTTTCTTTCTTTCTCCTTCCTTCCTTCCTTCTCTCTCCTTCCTTCCTTCCGTCCTTCCTTCCTTTCTTCCTTCTTCCCTCCCTCCCTCCTTCCCTCCCTCTCCTTCCTTCCTCCCTTCTTTCTTTCTCTCTTTCTCTCTCTTTCTCTTCTTTCTATTTCTTCTTTTTCTCTTTTTTCTCTCATTCCTTTCCCTTCCTTCCTTTCTCTTCTCTTCTCCTCTCCTCTCCTCTTCCCTCCCTCCCTCCTTTCTTCCTTCTTTCCTTCCTCCCTCCCTCCCTTTCTTTCTCTCTTTCTCTCTCTTTCTTTCTCTTCTTTCTACTTCTTCTTTCTTTTTCTCTTTTTTCTCTCCTTCCTTTTCCTTTCTTCCTTCCTTCCTTCATCTTCCCTTCTCTTCTCTTCTCTTTCTTTTCTTCTCCTCTCCTCTCCTCTTCCCTCCCTCCCTCCATCTGTCCGTCCTTCCTTCCTCCCTCCCTCCCTTCCTCCCTCCCTCCCTCCCTCCCTCCCTTCCTTCCTTCCTTCCTCTCTTTTCCTAGAGATGTCTAGCTGCTCCAGTTGCACATATTGAAAAGGCCATCTTTCCTCCATTAAATGGCTTCTGTATCTTTATTTAAAAATCAGTTGGCAATATTTGTACAGGCCCATTTCTCTCTTCCATATTGTGTTCTATTGATGTATGTTTATATCCTCCTGTCAGTATCACAGAGCTTTATAATAAGTCTTAAAATCAAGTAAACAGATTCTTCTAAATTTATTTTTCTTTGTCATGATCACTTATATCTATTTTGGTTCCTTTGTCTCTTCATATAAATTTTAGTATAACATTATCTATATCTATAAGAAATCGTGTGGACTTTGAAAACAATTGTGCTAAAAATTTTTCCATCTGGGGAAAAGTAAAATCTTTATTATTTTGACTTTTTCAATCTATAAACATAGTCTGTCTCCACATTTATTTAGATCCTCTTTGATTTCTTTGATCTGTGTTTTACAGTTTTCAGCATATAAGTCCTGTCTATGTTGTTGACAGCTATTGCATATTTTTAGATATTGAAAATGGTATTTTATTTTAAATTTTGACTTTCACAGGGTCATTGCTAACATATAAAAATAAAAATAATTTGTATATTTATTTTTCTTGTATCTTGTGACTTGGCTGAACTCACATATTATTTTGAGGATTTTTTTTGGTAGATTCATTTCAATTTTCTATGTAGGCAGTCTTGTCACCTACAAATAAAGACAGTTTTACTTATTATATTCCAGTTTGTATGCCTTTTATTTCATTTTCTTGCATTATTGTACTCACTAGAATTTTCAGAGGTATGTTAAGAATGCTGAGAGTACACATCCTTGTCTTTTTCCTTATCTTAGGAGGAAAACTTTTAGTTTTTTGAAGTGTTTTACTTGTCCTCAAACACAAACAACTTCATAAATCAATAAATTTGAGAACATTAAAATTTGGAGGTGCTATTCATCTAAAAGAACTATAAATAAAGTAGAAAGTCAAAACACAAACTGGAAACAAATACTTACAACTCTATTACTGGAAAACACTTAACAAATAAACAGTGCTTGGTATCAATCAAATCAACAAAAAGGAAAGCAAGCAACTAAAAAGGAAAAACATAAACAAGCACTTCATTAAAGAGGAAAACTAAAAGATGAATAAAAAATGCAAAACAAACCAAACAACATAACACCCCTAATCTTATTAGTAATAAGGGTAAAGCAAAATAAAAATAATTATTCACTCATGAGATTTGTAAAATTTTGAAAGTTGGATAGTGCCAAGTATTTCTAAAGATACAGTACACTTGGCACATATATTGAAAGTGTATGTGCCAAGTTTATGTATGTAAACTTGAAAGTGTATGTATCCATTGTTTCAACCACTATGGAAAATAATTTGGAATGCTTTAGTGTAGCAGGTTTGTCATTCTGAGAAATAAATGCAGAGATTAACAAATAGGAGGCTGGGCGCAGTGGCTCACGCCTGTAATCCCACCACTTTGGGAGGCAGAGGCGGGCGGATCACGAGGTCAGGAGATCGAGACCATCCTGGCTGACACGGTGAAACCCCGTCTCTACTAAAAATACAAAAAATTAGCCGGGCATGGTGGCGGGCGCCTGTAGTCCCAGCTTCTTGGGAGGCTGAGGCAGGAGAATGGCGTGAACCCGGGAGGCAGAGCTTGCAGTGAGCCGAGATCGTGCCACTGCACTCCAGCCTGGGTGACAGAGCAAGACTCCGCCTCAAAAACATAACAAAACAAAAACAAAAACAAACACACACACACACACACACACACATAGGAGTGGAAATACGGCAGAGCAGAGAGGCAGCTGTCGTCTGGCAATAGAGACATGACGAAGTCTCTGCCAGTGCAACAGAAACTCTGAAGCAAGGATTGCCCATTAAAAGTTTTGTTGTTTTTAGAAATGTCTGGGACCTTTTCCGTACTCTGCTCAGTTATTATCCAGCAGCCACTCTGAGAAAACTTTAACCCAAAGACTAGAACAGAGGTTGAAGAAACACCGTTAGTGAATTACATTACTCAAAGCTGGATAGCAAGTCTTTTCTCAAGGAGAATCTGAGTAGCCCTTCTCCATGTTGGCCACATCTAGGAAAGTGGATGATGTGTACACTCTATGACTCAACAGCTTTGCTCCCAAGATATACAGGTTGAGTACTCCTTGTCTGAAATGCTTAGAAGTGTTTTAGATTTCAGATTATTCTGGGGGGATTTTGGAACATTTGCATATACATAATGAGATATCTTGGGGATGGGACCCAAGTCTAAACACAAAATTCATTTAAGTTTCATATATTCCTTATACACATAGCCAAAAAGGTAATTTTATACAATATTTTAAATGATTTTATGCATGAAACAAAGTTTGTGTTGAGTATTTATGTGTGGAATTTTCCAATTGTGTTGCCATGTCAGCACTTGAAAAGATTTGAGTTTTGGAGCAATATGAATTTCAGATTTTTAGATCAAAGATGGTCAATCTGCATATTTTAGAAACACGTTTGCACATGTGCATCAGGAACAAGTTCTTGGCAGTAACGTTTTAATTCCAAAATATTGGAAACAACTGAAAATGCTCATAAATAATAGACTGGATTGATAAATTTTGTTATACTGACACATTGCTGTTGGACATTAGTAAAAATATGTGTCACAGCTAGACACACTGTCATATACAATAGCATAAATAGGTCTCCAGAACATAATATTAAAATAATGTTTCTGAAGACTGCACACAGTTTTCTCCAACTTATGTAAAGTCCAAACACCTGCAAAACTAAATAGGATATTCTTTATGGACACAATTACGTTAAAAAATATATGACCAGGCCGGGCACCGTGGCTCATGCCTGTAATCTCAACACTTTGGGAGGCTGAAGCGGATGGATCACTTGAGGCCAGGAGTTCCAGACCAGTTTGGCCAACATGGTGAAATCCCATCGCTACTAAAAATATAAAAGTTAGTCAGGCATGGTGGGGCATGCCAGTAACCCCAGCTGAGGCACAAGAATTGCTTGAACCCAGGAGGTGGAGGTTGCAGTGAGCTGAGATTGCACCGCTGCACTCCAACTTGGGCGACAGAGCAAGACTCTGTCTCAAAAAAAATTAAAAGACAAAACAAAACAAAACAAAACAAAAAGCCCAAACCAAATCAAACCAAAAAAAGAAAAAAAAAAAGCTGTGATGCTAAACAAGTAAATAACAACCACACAAAACCTTTGTGGAGAAGAGAGAAAAGGGGATCGAGGAGGATCACACAGACAATTTCAAAGGTAAGTCCACATTATAATGTCTTCAACTAAAGGTGGGTACATGGGGTTTTGTTGTTTATGCACTGGTTTTATTTATGTTTTAAACACAATTTTTAAATATTATTTTATATTAATGCCACATTTAATCAAAGCAATTAATTGAAATGTCTCAATGGTATTGCTCTAACTGAAGAAGCTGGACTTAACTATGACTGTTTTTATTGGAGATAATTTGGAATTTAATGTAGCTGGACATCTAAATAGTTGGGCAATTTACCGAATACAGGCATCTTTGCGTCTGTATCTATGTAAAAATGGGTACAGGATGCAAAGTAGTAAAATACACTGTACACGTCAGGATGCCTGCTCTACACAAGCCTCTCTTTAAAATAATCTGTCTCAGCCATACCTTATCTGGGAAGCTAGTGTTTTTTTTTGTTTGTTTGGCTTTTGTTTCATTTTCAAATTTATCTACGTTTCTACCTTCATTTCCGTGATTAAATGAGGAGTGGGGTTTTGTTGTTTTTGTTTGTTTTATGTCAAAGTAGCCCACTTATGGGCTAGCTAGTGCTTAGCTGGTATAAAAAGACACATTCTTTCAGTGATCTGATTTTCTGGAAAATGCCTAAAGAACATGGCAGTTGACAGCAGGGTGGTAGGAGATGAAGGGGTAGAAGAAGCCAAAAAATTTTATCAGATGAAATCAGGTAGACAGACCAAGTGACACAACAGTAATGAGATAGCAACATCTATAACACAGTAGAGGAAGTAATAAGCGAGGCAATGAAAATAAACTCAGAGAAACAATAACCACAGTAAAAACAACCCGAGATGTCATAAGAAAGTACAAAAGTATATTATGACCGAGTGCAGAGTAGCAGTCCTCGGTGCCTGACAATTTTCCAGTCCACATTAATTCCTCTTTTCCTTAAAATTGCTCCAATGAGACACTGTTCCTTGCAAAGAAAAAAAAAGGCAGATTAAAGTAAAAGATAGTTATGCATAGAATGTAATTTTGTATGACTTTTACGGACACTTTCATTGTATTTTGTTCCCCCCCACCCCTAATTTTCCCTTTCTATTTTCTTACAAACGTGAAGTTGTGTTTTCTTGCTATGTTTAAGGTTTCTTTCTAAGCCACCTGTAACCATTCAGCACATTGTTTTGTACAAATATAAACTTCCTTAGGCAGAACAAAGATGTAATGAACTCTCTGGATTCCAGAGGAATCCAAGTCTGGAAACTCACAAATAATTACTTATTGGAAATAATGCAAAAAATATGTTTTGATGGCACTTTTGGAGCAGAAAGAGAGTACTATGAAGGAAACACACAGAGAAGAGGAACATTTATAGTATGTCTACTGCAGGAAGATAAAAGTAGGGGACAAATGTGGCTTTCCTTTTCTGTTTGGAGAGAGTAAAAAAATATAGGGTAAGAGCCATAAAAAATGTATAACATTCTTATACTTTTTTATTTGTAATCTTCTATTTTCCCAAAGAGATTTGAGGCAAAACCCATAAAGTAAAAAAGGCTACGATTTTGTCTTTGGGAATAGCAAGGCAAGGAGCTGGGGTATGATGGTGTCAGTGCTTTGTGAAGTGCGACCATTTTCCCAGGTGGGTTTTGGGAGAAATCGATGATGTCACCTCCTGAGAAACAAAAAAGATCTCCATTTTGGGTGCTAACCCTAAGAAACAGAGAAGACAAGTTTGAGTCCTGGGGTGGTATGGTGCTTTTTAATGCCACATTAGGTGGGGTTCCCACAGACAGAGGTTTTTTTTTCCTTTCCCTGATGGCAAGAAAAGAAGCTTTTCTACATTTTTTATTCTTTGGCAACCCACCCAGGAGGCTGGTCTTTGAACTCCTCCACATCCATTCCCACAGACACTAAATTTGTCTAGAGCAGACTTTGGCTCTAAACTCAGGACAGATGGAGAGAAAGATGCTGTCTAAGAAAAGCAGAAATGACGAAATTGCATTCTGGTTTGAATGTTCTTCATTAAGAGTGTTTATTGTGTTAATGCTGTCACTACATCATCCTACTCCAAGGGTAAGCGGCCACTGGTCTGAGTATGGCCAGAATGATGAGTAATATGATTCCAATTTTTTGTTTTGTGTGTGTATGTTTTGTTTTTTTTTTTTGTTTTTTGTTTTTTTTTTTTTTTGGTGAGCCAACAATAAAGTGAAGGATAAAATGAAGAGAGGAAAATAAGGCAGGAAAAGAAAGATTGGTCTTTCCCTAGAGAGTCGTGCTATTAGGTCTAGGTAAGAGGCAGGCACTGGTCTGGAGAAGTGCATGTGGAAATCTGTATATTTAAACTTAGGTCAGTCTTACTAGCGGATAAATGGGAAGAACATTGCCCAAATTCTCTTTCCTTCCTGTGAGGTCATGGAGACTAAAACACAAAACCTACCAAAAATCACATGAAGAAGTATAGGAAAAATAAATAGATCTGTATTAAATTTTTTAAAAATTTTAAGAAAAATTATAAGATTTTCAAGGATGTAACTCTGAGAGATCTCAGTTAGATCAGAGTTTATTTCTGCAATTAAAACTGAACACTGATAAATTCAATTGGTGGGTCGATTCTGACGAATTCAAGGATGTACCTAAGACCTTCATGAATGAGTAGGTTTCTTGATGGCCAGAATAGATTCCAAATATCCAGAATATCCTGCACGTTCTCTGACATTTCTTCTCAGTATTTGTGGAAATGGTATACTGAGCTGGCAAAAATTAAGAACCTATTTTTCATGAACATTATGGCAAAATAAAGTGTAATTCTCATTTCCTATATTTTGCGTCATGCATGAAACCTTTTACACCATGTGATGAGACTAGATACAGCCAATCCAGTTCTTGTCTTAAGTCAGTGAGTGTTTTTTAAATATGAATGTGATACTATTCACTAGGGAAACATCTATACAGTTCTGATTTGATTCACTAAATCTGGGCTGGGATTCTGAATTTCTATCAAGTTCCCAGTTTTTGCTGTTATTGCTGGCTACAAAACTACACTGTAAGCAGCAAGGTATAGGTGACAAAAAGATGCACATCTTGTATCAAATAGTTCCCTAATGAATTTTTATACAATTCTACATTTTCATTAATTACTCTTGGAGAACATTTAAAACAATTAAAATTCTTAAGTTAGGGGAGTGATACTGGATGTAATACCTGTACTGTATTTTAATTTTTATTTGTAGATATGACAATGGTATATCAGAAGAAAATTCATGTGAAGACACCAAGTCTATGTAAATAAAATTATTTTTGTACATAAATATGTAATTATTTTGATTTAATGTTAATCATTTAAGTCAGTCTCAATAGACTTTTTCTCAGACATCAACTTATTTAAGAATATGTAACAGAGTTCCTGTCCTATTTTGGCACTCATTAAATATTTGCTAAATGAATAAGTGTGGATTGTGTTTAGAAGTTTTATGCTTTATGGCAATTATATATCATAAGTAATCCTTATAAATATATGTAAATGATAAATTCATCTTTGGAAAGAGAACAAATTAACCCTTTCTTTTTGTCTATTTGCCCAGGACCCATTTTATGCAACTTTACATACATTTATACATCTTGCATACCACATACTATGATTTGATGGAAGGTACTCTGTCCTGTTCTTTGTCCCCAATACTACTTTAGAAGCTACCATGTAGATTCACTGAGATAAAACAGTTGGAACTGTTTTAGGAGATCTGATCAACCTTTGTGGCTAAGATAAGAAATTTTGATTTTCTTTTAGGAAAAGAAAAAAACCTAAAAATTGAGAAATGGAAGGAGGAGAAGCAGGAAAATATTGAAAAAAGAGGAAACAGGAATAGTTGATATGATTTGACTGTGTCCCCACCCAAATCTCATTTTGAACTGTAGCTCCTATAATCCTCATGTGTTGTGGGAGGGACCCAGTGGGAGGTAATTGAATCATGGAGGCAGTTTCCCCCACACTATTCTCATGATAGTGAGTAAGTTCTCACGAGAGCTGATGGTTTTATAAGGGGCTTCCCCCTTCACTCGGCTGTCATTCTTCTCCTTCCTGCCACCATATGAAGAAGGATGTGCTTGCTTCCGTTTCTGCCATGATTGTAAGTTTCCTGGGGCCTCCCCAGCCCTACAGAACTGTGAGTCAATTAAATCTCTTTCCTTTATAAATTACCTAGTCTTAGGTATGTCTTATTTAGCAGTGTGAGAACAGACTAATACAATAGTGTACATCAGTTGTGGGTTAGATTAATAACATAGCAGCAGAAGTGTCAAGGTGAGACATCACAGAATATGAGGATAAATTATGGGATGTAAGAAATAAATTAAATTTCCTTAATTAAATTAAATTAAATTAAATTAAAATTCCTTAATTTAAATTTGAGATGAATTATGCTTACTTTAAAATGTCATCTAAGGCAGCCCTAAATTTTTCACTCTTCAAAAAGCAAATCTTAACAAAATCCCTGCGACACCTGCCCATCACAAGTCAGCTACAGGTGGGTCTTATACTGAAACCAAGAAATATTAGTCTCTCATGTAGCCATTTTGCATGCATGCCCAAATGCTAGAACATAAATCTCCTCTATGTCAAAGTCAACCTCTCCTGTCTTCTAGGTTTCAGAGAACACTTCCCATTTTCTCTACCTCCTAAAGCTTCTTGACCACAATGTGCTGCTTAATTTTAGTTCTAATGCCATGATTTATTCCTATACATACCATATCGATTATTAGTTGTCTCATCAGTAAAGTGTGTGTGTTAATAAGATAATTTATATATTAAAAAAGGGACACCTGATTGAAAGCTAGACAACTCGGGTTCTCCTCTCAGCTTTTCTATTCTTTCTGTGTGTCACCTTGAGGAAGCCACTTAATATTTCTTGGTTTCAGAATGGCAGTGGGTGGACTCCATCAATCTCTCTGAACCTGAGTCTCTAAATTTGAACCCCTTGAAGATTTTTTTTAATAAAGTCATCTCATTTAAAGTAACCAAAGTAACTTTACTATAGGGTAAAAGTCACAGACATTTGACATCTCTAATTTCTGTTGAAGAAATCTTTACAGGACCCTTTAATTTGATGGTGTTAATATATACATGGCATAATCAAAGTTAAGTTTGAATATAATAATGTCCTTGAAAAGAGTGAAAGTTTCTATAGACAGGAATCTGGTCACACTCCATTCCCAGAGCTATGAACATCTGGTTTTCTGGGATAGGAATCTTGGTGATGTGAAACCTCCCTGACTGCACGTCCATTCATAGGCTCTCTGCAGGGGGAAGCACATCACACGCTGTTGGCTCGTTCTGGCAGTCCAACCTGGCATTGTCTTTATACAATCCTGCATGCAATTTTGTATTTACAATAATCAGGAGCATTTCATCTTTTATTCTGTAGCAATAGTTTCAGGGGGTCTCCCTACATATCATGTTTTAACACAATTTTTTAAACAACTATGAATTATATGCAGGATATATTTTATTAAATTCTTGGGCACTTTGAAGTAAGTATTAAGGCAGAGGTAAATTTTATTGTATGGTGTTAACATTTCTACAATAAATATATATTTAAAATAATCTTAAAATTCTATGAGAAATGTATTTGATATGCCTATATTTGTTTGACATTTGTTTTAATATAAATACCCAAGTCTTTAAGAGAAAACTCAAACTCGAATGATCTTCTTTTATGATTTTTCAACCTGTGGCTGCAAATTTATTACATAAGACTAAATTCTAGTCACATGTACAGTTTAGAAGGATGGGCAAATGTAAAACAAAGGGAACTAGTATTAGATTTCATCATAGATTTTGGTTGTTTGGAGCGATAGCAGATATGTGCACAGAGGGAGTCAGTGTCAGTTGAGTACAGAAAATCCTAGATCAGGCTCATGTTTTTTAAGATAGGGTCTCACTCTGTCGCCCCGACTGGAGTGCAGTGTCACGATCATAGCTCATTGCCACCTCAAACTGCTGACCAGGCTCATTAGTACGTTACCTTTGGGAATGGAAGAAGAAAAAAATGTGGATATTTTTGAATCTCATATAAGAAGTATTTGACAACCTCTCTTTCAGGGAAAACTTTGATTATTTATTTTAATATTTTAACTACTTTACAGGTGTTTATATATTATTCATCTTTTTTACAACAATTCTGAAATATTGAGATATTTCTGAAGGGTTTGTATGTTTTGAATCACTTCAATATAAACAAAGGTCAGAAGAAAATTTGGGTTTAATGTATAACAGTTAAAAATATGATAGAACAATTAGTGTATGTGGAAGTATATGTGTATGTGCATTCATTTATTTATATTTATTTCTCTGACTATAAAAGCCAAAACAAATTCAGTATGATTTTCAAGTATCTCTATGAAGGCCATATTTTTGCCACTTAGAAAACTTAGCCCTATTAACTCTGGGAAAAAAAAATCCAAGAGCCTGAAGTACTGTGAAGTAAAAGAGAAGTAAACTCACACTTAACTAGAATTGCCTTGAACGATCTTTGAGTCTTCATGTATCTGAAGACGACACTAAGAATGGATTATTTCTTTAATGATCTTCTTGAGGATCATTATCGCTGTTCATTGTAAAATAATCTCAAATTTTTGAAATATGGATTATAAAAGATTTTCATAGCACTGTATCAATTGAAGGAATAATTGGCCTTAAATAAATCTCAATGACAAGTCACTTTAGTGCAAAAATTGTAATCTAATTTGTAGATATGTTTTGGAAATAAATTAATCCCAGTTAATATTAACTAACTGAATGTATAGCATTAGTGATCATAACATTTTTATGTATCAATTCAAAAAATTATTAGTGCATAAACAAATTAATAAAGTTATTTCAAGAGTCTCTACAAAAATTAGCAAAGGAAATTAGTGAGATAATAGAATGCACGATTTTGTCAAAAGCTATTTGTACTACTTGGGAGGCTGAGGCAGAAAGATTGTTTGAGGCCAGGAGTTTGAGACCAGCCTGGGTAGATAGTGAGACCTCATCTCTACAAAAATTTAAAAGGTTTTAGTCAGGCATGGTTACTCATGTCTGTACAGCTACATGGCAGGCGGAGGTAGGAGGATCACTTGAGCCCAGGAGTTCCAGGTTGCAGTGGGTTATGATCATGCCACTGTACTCCAGCTTGGGAAATAGGACAAGACTCCAACTCTCTAAAAGAAAAAACTATTTATAAAACGTGATACAATATGTAATTTCTACTGATTAATTGGTATTTCCTGAAACATGAGGAATAACAGCTGTTAAAATTTACCACTAATCTAAAATATTAGAGCTTGTATAATTATCAATATAATTAGTGATATTCTAACATTTCACATTTTGTTTTTCCTTTGTAGTGAAACTCCTTCACAATTATTTGTAGAAATTCAATGTAAGTCATAATACTTATGGCAGATTATTACAAGTTATGCAAGTCAAGCACATTTCTCTGCAGTTCCCAGTGATTTTTAATGCCAAGAGTGCTTTGATTTGGTTCACCAAATGTAGGCCCAGTTTTGCTTTGGATCTTTTCTTTCAAGAAGCTCCATGGAGTCCCAGAAATTTAGCTATTTACTATCTAATTTAGTTGACTGTTTTTGATGTCTGGCCTTTAGCAAAAATTTAACAACAGTTATCTTGTTCATAAAATTAGGCATACAAGGGAGTCTAGAAGCTCTTGCATAATGGAGATAATTAAAAATATTCTGAAAATCAAGATTAATAAAGTTTGCAAGGACATAAAATGGATTATCTAAATGACCTACTTGCACATTTCAAGAACAAATGAAAACTTTAATTGGTGTTTGTAAAGACTTTTGCCATCTGTTTGACTAAAACTGTTCCTATTTTCAATTTTTTTGTTATTTTTTCACCTTGAGGATGATTTAAAAACTTTAGTAATAGGATTTTACTTTATCAAAATTTAAATTCAAATTTCCTTTTGGATTTAATTAATCTACAGATAGAAAATGGGAAAAATTCTTTAGAATGCGGTGATGGTCAAATTTCCATTGTCTTTATACCTTGGCAGCATGTATATTTTGATTATGAAAATTAAATCATTTAACTTTTTTTAATTTTTTTATTATACTTTAAGTTTTAGGGTACATGTGCACATTGTGCAGTTTAGTTACATATGTATACGTGTGCCATGCTGGTGCGCTGCACCCACTAACTCGTCATCTAGCATTAGGTATATCTCCCAATGCTATCCCTCCCCCCTCCCCCCACCCCACAACAGTCCCCAGAGTGTGATGTTCCCCTTCCTGTGTCCATGTGATCTCATTGTTCAATTCCCACCTATGAGTGAGAATATGCGGTGTTTGGTTTTTTGTTCTTGTGATAGCTTACTGAGAATGATGATTTCCAATTTCATCCATGTCCCTACAAAGGACATAAACTCATCATTTTTTATGGCTGCATAGTATTCCATAGTGTATATGTGCCACATTTTCTTAATCCAGTCTATCATTGTTGGACATTTGGGTTGGTTCCAAGTCTTTGCTATTGTGAATAATGCCACAATAAACATACATGTGCATGTGTCTTTATAGCAGCATGATTTATAGTCCTTTGGGTATATACCCAGTAATGGGATGGCTGGGTCAAATGGTATTTCTAGTCCTAGATCCCTGAGGAATCGCCACACTGACTTCCACAATGGTTGAACTAGTTGACAGTCCCACCAACAGTGTAAAAGTGTTCCTATTTCTCCACATCCTCTCCAGCACCTGTTGTTTCCTGGCTTTTTAGTGATTGCCATTCTAACTGGTGTGAGATGGTATCTCATAGTGGTTTTGATTTGCATTTTTCTGATGTCCAGTGATGATGAGCATTTTTTCATGTGTTTTTTGGCTGCATAAATGTCTTCTTTTGAGAAGTGTCTGTTCATGTCCTTTGCCCACTTTTTGATGGGGTTGTTTGTTTTTTTCTTGTAAATTTGTTTGAGTTCATTGTAGATTCTGGATATTAGCCCTTTGTCAGATGAGTAGGTTGCGAAAATTTTCTCCCATTTTGTAGGTTGCCTGTTCACTCTGATGGTAGTTTCTTTTGCTGTGCAGAAGCTCTTTAGTTTAATTAGATCCCATTTGTCAATTTTGTCTTTTGTTGCCACTGCTTTTGGTGTTTTGGACATGAAGTCCTTGCCCATGCCTATGTCCTGAATGGTAATGCCTAGGTTTTCTTCTAGGGTTTTTATGGTTTTAGGTCTAACGTTTAAATCTTTAATCCATCTTGAATTGATTTTTGTATAAGGTGTAAGGAAGGGATCCAGTTTCAGCTTTCTACATATGGCTAGCCAGTTTTCCCAGCACCATTTATTAAATAGGGAATCCTTTCCCCATTGCTTGTTTTTCTCAGGTTTGTCAAAGATCAGATAGTTGTAGATATGCGGCGTTATTTCTGAGAGCTCTGTTCTATTCCATTGATCTATATCTCTGTTTTGATAATCATTTAACTTTTTATCTCCTATTCTATTTCAAAGGCAGTAAGAAAAATAGTACCAACATTATGTTGGTACTTTTACAGTGAACATGCTATACTTCTTCTGGATGTTTGATTTATAAAATAATCAGCTGTGTCTAAGAGAACTGTTAATTTTTCCCCTTTTTCCTAGAAAAGAAGAATTTCCCAAGGGGAGAAAAGACAAGAAACCACACTTCCCTTTTGAAGAGTTAACTTTGCACAACTAAAGTCATTGAGAAATGGGATTGAGAGTGAAATGGTGGGAGTTGGAATTCCTAAATTTCAACATTACTCACTTTTTTGGGAAGGGCACACTACAAGTTGCAGGATAACTGGTGTTCCTACTGTAAATTCTAACCCCACTCAGTGGAGATGGCGTCTTGCTGGTGGATTCTGGTAAATCTCACATGAGGTTCTCAGATCAAATAATACTCTGGAAATCCAACTTCTCTTCCCAGGCAGTGTAGGGATTGATTGATTATATTGAGTTAGTGTGACATTAATAATAAGCTGTTGAAAAGAATTGTTTAAGAAGTAGAATAGAAAGGTTTACTTGTTTCTTATCCTAAATATATAATTCTATCAAAAGATTTGTGTATCTCACTGATATCTAGTGCTATGTAAAGTAGGCATGGGTACATTTCATTTCATGATTCAAGTAACATTTTTAGTGACACTACCTCAAAAAGAGCACACTATGTTTAATTCATACTATGTTGTAACTGATCAGTGTCAAAGCCTTTCCTTAGAGCAGCTTTGACAGGAATGGAAGGGAGAGAGCAAGGCTGCTCTGTGTCTGGGAAGAGGAGGAATAGAAAAACATTGCCTAAGTGTTTTACTGAACAGAACTTCTGCCCCTGCATAACCAAAATGTGACAACGCTCTTACAGATGGTCTCCACTTCACTCCAAACCACCTGGATACTCTACTCACTATTCTAAACACATTTAACATCACAATGCATTAGCAAATAATGCTGTTTTAATGAGATTTTATATAGAAGGAGAATAGCAAGATTTCACTATGTACCCAAGTGCAAAACTTAATATGCTTTCTCAGGATTGTGGATTTTTTTGTCTCAAGTTCACTAGCCATCTCATTTCTCTTTCTTCCTCCCTTACGTGTAATATAAACTTGTTTCTCAGGTTTTGAATAATTCTGCTCTGATTTCACCTTATATTCTCCATTCAAATGATAGATAGGCTCATCAATTGTCACTTTGTCTGGGAGCATCAATGGTCACTTAAGAGTGCCTCTTTGATCTCTAATATACTACTCCACATGGCTTATCAAAATTTCTGTTTAACAGAAATAGCTTCTTCCTGTATGGAGGATGGGGACTTAGATTGGTTGAGAAAAAGTTATTGGTAAGGAAAAAAGTTTTATACACTTTTCTACATATGTTTTGCATATGTCTGTGTGTGTGTGTGTGTACACACAAGTGATAAATGTGTAACAATAAAGATGTGTGTGTATATATGTACACATGTATACTATATACATGTATACTATATATAGTTTTTATATAGCTATACACATACACACACACACACATATATCTTTATTGTTAAACCTTCATCACTTTCTTTCACAGTCTGGTGAGCAGGATTGGACAATTTAAATCCATAGGGCCCCTTTATCTCATTCCCTTGACCATAGGATAAATACATATCAACTGTATTAGTACATTCTCACATTGCTATAAAGGACTACCTGAGACTGGGTAATTCATGAAGAAAAGAGGTTTACTTGACTAATAGTTCTGCATGGCTGAAGAAGCCTCAGGAAACTTATAATCATGGTGGAAGGCGAAGGGGAAGCAGGTACATCTTCACATGGTGATGGGAGAGAGAGAAAGCAAAGGGGGAAGTGTTACACACTTGCAAACAACCAGATCTGGTAATAATTCACTATCACGATAACAACAGGGGAAATTTGCCTCCATAATCTAATCACCTCCCACCAGGTCCCTCCCCCAGTATTGGGGATTACAAACTAACATGACATTTGGGTGGGGACACAGGGCCAAACCATATCAGCAACTGACTTTCTCCTTCTTCTATTGTACCCCGGCATTTGCTAAATGAAAAGAACTGCCTAAATTCAAAGTCTCACCACAAAATATCCCTCATACCATGTTCTTTGGCTCTCCATCATTTTTACTTCCTTTTTCCTTCATTCAGGGTTGCATCCCGAGTTCCAAAATGAGTAATTTTAAAATGGTGAGGAGCAGAAGGAAAGGAATCTGCGTTCCTCTATCAATGGAGTAGAATGACATTACAGGTCCTCCTTATCTTTTCCTGTCAGTGTTTAAACACAGTAGATTTTGATGGGTACAGTGGCTCATGCCTATAATCCCAGCACTTTGGGAAGCCACTGTGAGTGGATCACTTGAGGCCAGGGCTTAGAGACCAGCCTGGCCAACGTGGTGAAACCCCATCTCTACTAAAAACACAAAAAATAGCCAGGCGTGCTGACACATGCCTGTAATCCCAGCTACTTGGGAGGCTGAATCATGAGAATCGCTTGAGCCTGTGAAGCAGAGTTTGCAGTGACCCAAGATCATACTACTGCACTTCAGCCTGGGTGACAGAGTGAGACTGTCTAAATAAATAAATAAATACATTTAGTAGATTGAAGTTCAGAAGTATTACAGTTTTTCCTGATGGTGGTAGTTCTCTTTAAGCCATGGAATACACAGATTTTGTTTCTGTTTTTGCTTTGACTTTTTTTTTACTCCTTTGGAAATATATTGATGTTACACAGTAACATCACAGAAAAAAATAGACCTAAAAAGACTCCAGAATTTCTTAAGTATGTTTACTGTATCTTTAATTTTAATTTTCTATCATATTTCCACTAGTGATATTTTCTTTTCTTTCTTTAGGGTATTCAAAATGTGAATGTAGGGGGCAAATTGTATTAAATGTAAGGGAAGTTTTTACCTGAAGTCTTTTTTTCTTGTTCGACACTTAAACCACTGATCAAATGAAAGAAAATGCGATTTAATACCAAGATGACTACATCCCGTTCTGTCCCTAAGGAAACCACATTATTTCATGGTCTATTAAATTTTTTAGAGCTCCAGATTGTCTTTTTTTGAGATGTTTTAATGTTACATTAGGTTACGGTAGGTTATAATGCAGGAAGATATAAAGACAAGATCTCACGCCAAGACTACACTTACCCACTAAAACATCCATTATTGTCAGCTGCTCTTGTGAGCTCAAGTTTGATTTCTAGAAAACAAGCAGTGCATATCAATGACGGCCATTCCTCCATGTGCTGCTTCACAGTGAAACTTTGACACTAAACTGAACAGTTATTTGAGGGTTGGGAAAAGTCTCGAGCTAGTTGGTTTTTCAGGCCAGTTTTCTGTGGCCCATCACATTTCTCATGAATAAGCCCCACTCACGAGTGAAGTACCACTTCAGTTGTATCCACATCATATTCCAGTACTGCTGAGGATATCTTTAAATATTTTCTCATCACACTGTCCAGCAAATAACTCCAAAGTGACACAAAATTTAATATACCCTTTGCATTTTCTATTCATCTTTCTTTTTATTGAAATTATTATTTTCAAAGTGACAGCTTTTTTAAAAATACAAAAGCATTTAAAATGAAGAATAAAAAAATAATTTTTACTCATTTTTAAGAAAGTTCCCCCTAGCCTGAGCTTCATTACTAAAAAGTAAAGATCTTCAGCAGTTTCCTGTATATACTTCCGGAAAACTTACATAAACATATTTATATTACACATATTGATTGTACCTTGCTTTTTGTTTTACTTCATTTTCATTACAGCCCTACTTTCCTTTGTTCTTCCTTCTATATCTATAGTAATCTATGCCTTCAATGACTTACATTATAAAAAAAGATTCCCAATGTATAATATTTCTAGTTTCTGTAGGCTTCCCAAATAATGCCACTTTGAATATAACATCCATTACTTAGATATTATATATTGTGGCCAATTGTTTCAGTAAAAAGATAGTTGAGGTATTTTGTTTTTATTATTTAATGTGTAAATTTTATTAGAAAATATGCTTAATGTTATTTTATTTTAAACAATACTAGTTTTTAAGTATTTTTATATTGTAAAACTGATTTTCTTCTCTTTTGTCTGATTTACAAATAATTATTTTTTATTAATTGTAAATGAGTATTTTTATGATAATAAATGTTAAATATTTTCCCAAAAGTATGTTCTACCTTTCCATTTGTCTAAATGTTATGACCTTCAAAATGACTTGTATAGAGGGTCATTGCATTTTTAAAAATATCTTATTTTCATTTTGTTGTTAATGTGATTAAAACACTTACTTCTATGTTATAGTATGTATGTATATATTTATTGATTCGGCTCCACAAATTTCTCATTCTCTTTCTCTTTATTCTTTTCCTGTATTCTACTTTTCCATCAGATTTTCCTTTTGCAATAACAGCTCCTTATAATATTGCTCTCAGTACACGTCTGATGATAATGAAGTCTCTCAGCTTTTTGTTTGCCTAAAAATATCATCACTTTGGAGGAAATTTCTCTTTAGTCTGCTTACAGAATGTAGATATTTTCTGTCAATCTGAGTTAACTAACACTGTCTTCTACAGTAACCCATCTATAAATTCTCAATTTGAGATACTGTATTTTCAGAAGGAAGACTGATTATAATTCTTTCCTTTTATCTATTTCATTACACAATTTGCTCATAGTTATTTCAAAGCTTTTGTCTGCTAATGTCAATGTCTAAATCATCCATGCTTTTGTTTCTTTTCCTTTTTTGGTTTTTGGTCATATGGCACTGTCTCTTAACATGCCCAGTAATTTTTGAATGCATGTGAGAAGTAGTGTCTAAAAATTATAGAAGCTCAAGAGGATGTTATTTTCTGCTAGAGAGGGTTTCTTCTCCTTTCTTCTCCTAGACAGAGTGGAGGCTGAATATCTCAAATCGAAGGATATCTGAATTGGGTTGAGTTACTCTTTAGACAAAAGTCAGTCAACCTCTGGCCTCCATTTCTGAAATGCAGTCTGCTTTTTTGGGTTTTTAGTTGAGAGGCTGAAGTATTCTACAGGGTGTGTTCTCATTGGAGGTCTTGAATTGAATCCATTTTCCCAGCAGAAAACTGTTCGGATTTTCAGAGGTGATGATAAGCCAAAATACTGTACCCCCAAAGATGTCCATATTCTAATCACCAGAACCCATTAATTTGTTATGTTATGTGGCAAGAAGGAATTGTGTTTGCTAATCAGCTGAATTTAAGATAAGGAGATTATACTGGATTATTCAAGTGGGCCCAATGTAATCACAAGGGTCCACAATTAGAAAAGAGGGAGGCAGAAGAGTCAGAACCTGAGTGATTCCCTTGTGAGACTCAACCAGCCATTGCTAGGTTTTGAGATGGAAGGGGTTTATGAGCCAAAAAATGTAGATAGCCCCTAGAAACTGAATAGGAATAAAAACACATTCTCTTCTAAACCTGCAAGGAAGGTATGCATACCTGCTACTTTGAATTTAATCCAGTGAGACCCCTTTATAAACTTCTGAGCTCCAAAACTGTGAGATAAGAAATTTGTGTTGTTTTAACCCACTAAATTTGTGGTGGTTTTATAGCAGCAATAGTAAATGAACACAGAGGTTTGTGGTTTATTTCTTTAGTTTCCCACACATACAACTTCAGCATTGAGAAAGTATTTTGATAAGAAAACAGACATGGGTATGAGGCACCTGAAGTCTCATATTCCCACTTTTCAAGACTATTTTTTGCTGTTTCTTTCCTCCTTATGAGGAACCTTCTACTCATTAAAAGCCCACATTCTTGATCTCTTGCCAGTGTTCAGAATAAGAAGATGCCCTAGAGAAAGCAGATAGCAAAGGTCATTTCATTTTGAATCAGCACTTTTGGTCCTGCTTGATTCATTAGCTGTCCAGTAACTTTACATATGTGATGTTTGTATTATATTGACTTCTAAATTGTTTTCAGTTGAGTATTTTTTGCAATCTACTCCATTGTATTAGTTCATTTTCACACTGCTATGAAGAAATACCCAAGACTGGGTAATTTATAAAGGAAAGAGGATTAATTGACTCACAGTTCTGCATTACTGGGGAGGCTTCAGGAAACTTACAATCATGGTGGAAGGCAAAGGAGAAGCAGGCACCTTCTTCACAGGGTGGTAAAATGGAGTGAGTGCAAGCTAGGGAAATGCACGATGCTTATAAAACCATCAGACCTTGTGAAACTCACTTATTATCACAAGCATAGGGGAAACTGATCCAATTACCTCCACTTGGCCCTGCACTTGACACTTGGGTATTCTGGGGATTACAATTCAAGGTGAGAATTGAGTGGGGGCACACAGCCAAGCCAAACCATATCATTCTGCCCCTGGACCCTCCCAAATCTCATATCCTCACATTTCAAAACACAATCATGCTCTTCCAATAGTTCCCCAAAGTCTTAACTCATTCCAGCATTAACTCAAAAGTCCACAGTCCAAAGTCTCATCTGAGACAAGGCAAGTCCCTTCCATCTATGAGCCTACATAATCAAAAGCAAGTTAGTTACTTCCTAGATATGATGGGGGTACAGTCATTGGATAAATACACCCATTACAAATGGGATAAATTGGCCAGAACAAAGGGGATATAGGCCACATGCAAGTCCAAAATCAAATAGGGCAGTCATTAAACCTTAAAGTTCCAAAATGATCTCCTTTGACTCTGTCTCACATCAGGGCATGCTGATGCAAGAGGTGGGCTCCCATGGCCTTGGGAAGCTCTGCTCCTGTGGTTTGCAGAGTACAGCCCCACTCCCATTGCTTTCACAGGCTGGCGTTGAGTGTCTGTGGCTTTTCCAGGCACATGGTGCAAGCTTTTGGTGGATCAGCCATTCTGGGGTCTGGAGGACGGTGGCCCTTTTCTCATAGCTCCACTAGTCAATGCCCTAGTGGGGACTCTGTGTGAGGCTCCAACCCCACATTTCCCTTCTCCACTGCCCTGGTACGGATTCTCCATGAGGGCTCAGCTCCTGCAGCAAACTTCTTATCCTTTGAAATCTAGGCAGAGTTTCCTAAACCTCAATTGTTGACTTACATGCACCCACAGGCTTAATACCATGTGGAAACTGCCAAGGCTTGGGGCTTGCACCCTCTGAGGCATGGCTTGAGCTGTACCTTGGCCCCTTTTGGCCATGGCTGGAGTTGAAGCAGCTGGGGTGCAGGACACCATGTCCCAAGGCTGCACAGAGCATGGGGGCCCTGGACCCAGCCCATTAAATCATTTTCCCCTCCTAGTCCTCTGGGCCTGTGATGGGAGGGGCTACTACAAAGGTCTTTACATGCCCTGGAGACATTTTCCTCCTTGTCCTGGTGATTAGCATTCAGCTCCTTGTTACTTATGCAAATTTCTGTAGCCAGCTTGAATTTCTCCCCAGAAAATGGGTTTTTCTTTTCTACTATATTGTCTGGCTGCAAATTTTCCAAACTTTTATGCTCTGTCACCTCTTGAATGCTTTGCTGCTTAGAAATTTCTTCCACCAGATATCCTAAATCAAGCCTCTCAAGTTCAAAGTTTCACAGATCTGTAGGGCAGGGGCAAAATGCCACCAGTCTCTTTGCTAAAGCATAGCAAGAGTCACATTTGTCCCAGTTCTCAAGAAGTTCCTCATCTCCATCTGAGACCACCTCAGCCTGGACTTCATTGTCCATATCACTATCAGCATTTTGGTGAAAACCATTCAACAAATCTCTAGGAAGTTCCTCACATTATTCTGTCTTCTTCTGAGCCCTCCAAACTGTTTCAACCTCTGTCTGTTAGACAGTTCCAAAGTTGCTTCTACGTTTTCAGGTATCTTTACAGCAGCTCCCCACTACCTCAGTACCAATTTACTGTATTAGTCTGCTCTCACACTGCTATGAAGAAATACCTGAGACTGGATAATTTATAAAGGAAAGAGTTTTAATTGACTCACAGTTCCTCATTGCTGGGGAGGCCTCAGGAAACTTACAATCATGGCAGAAGGCAAAGGAGAAGCAGGCACCTTCTTCACAGGGTGGTTGGACAGAGTGAATACAAGCAGGGAAAATGCCAGACGCTTATAAAATCATCAGATCTTGTGAGATTCACTCATTATCATGAGAACACATGGGAGAAACCACCCCCATGATCCAATTACCTCCACCTGCTCTCACCCTTGACATGATTATGAAGATTACAATTTAAGGGGTGATTTTGATGGAGACACAGAGCCAAACAATATCATCCATTTACTATCTGGAGGCAAAAATTCGCTTCTGAGACTTTTTGTCTCAGATTTTCACCTTAAATGTGTTTTCTTCTATTATATCTTAGAATATACTTCTATTTATTCTTATTTCATCAAAAACATTATTTTATTCATCATTGGCATATTTTATACCATTTATCATTGTTTTTGGATTCTAGAAGAATTTCTAAGTTTTTCCCATACAACACTGTTAGTTTCTTCAATAGCATCATTTTCTTTTTATTGTTTAAAGTGTAAAATTTAAATTTTCTATTGCACTATTATGTTTCTTCAATAAAAGTGTAAAATTTGGAATAAGTATGGAGTGTGAGTGCAAGGCTGGGCATTAGAGGATTGTTAGATTAATGATGTGTCTTGTATTATTGTCAAGTAGAGGCTTGAAATTGAAAAGGTTGTAATATTTATGTATCTTTTTCTTATTTGGCTTCAGCATTCTTCTTTCAAGGCCCCATGTCTACTTTGCTTGATAAATTATTTTAAGCACTTGGCAATCTTATAACATCAATTTACTTAAACAATGATTATTATGTAACCATAAACCCAGATTTTATAATCACTTTAATTTACCTGCCCAGTGATTCTCAGTATATACTATATATATAAACAAGCAAAAATTTTCAATTCAATTGTCAGGCATATTTATTTGAATGTTTTACCCCACACCACTCCATTCCATAAGCTTCCCTTCCCCAAATTTATTTAGAATTTTAGGTAGAGTAGGAAAGGTCACAGGAATTATTTCAGTAAGCATTGAACATTCTGACAAAGTTCTGGAAATGCTAGTATTTTTTTTTTTTTCAGATGGAGTTCCACTCTGTCACCCAGGCTGGAGTTCAGTGGCATGATCTTGGCTCACTGCAACCTCTGCATCCTGGATTCAAGCAATTATCCTGCCTCAGCCTCCCAAGTAGATGGAATTACTGCCACGTACTACCATGCCTGGCTAATTTTTTTGTATTTTTAGTAGAGACGGGGTTTCACCATATTGGCCAGGCTGGGCTCGAATCACATTTTTTTTGAACATTTTTTATCATGCAACTTAGACAAGTTTTTTGGTCTTTAATGTGCATTAAACAAGACATACCCTAAAATTGCTTTGAGAGGCACACCCCACATTAATTGAAAATGGTTAAAGTTATTGTAGGGTGAAATAATACTGAATAGGAAAATAGCTACAATTTCCATTGTAAGTCTTCTAATTTGGCTACATCATCTTTTAAACCCACACCACAAAGTGCCCTTTTTTGTAGTTTATAATCTCTTTGATATGTTTTTGGTGCTTGGTTTTAGAGTAATTTACTGAAGTTTAATTATTTCTCACAACAGAGGATTAATGTTACCACCTATCTGTAGCAGGCTTAGGCGTTCCATACAAGGTTTTATTAGTTGGTAGAGAGGATTATGCATACTTTCATTAAGGGTGAACACAGTACAAGTGACTTAATTATTTTGACCACAACTTCATAGTGTTTTATTGCCTATAGTGCCTTTTCCTTTCTTTCTTTTAAAATTATAAAATTCTGTTGTGTAATTCAGCCAGCTGACTTAGTTTGTAAATATGCATCAGTCTTCTGGCACTAAAATATTAAAATAATATCATAATTTGACTACATGATAGATTTTATATTGGTGAAGATAAAGACTCACAAAGTCCAGATATCCAGCTGAGAGAGTTTGCCACTCATTGCTTTGATGGAAAAGAGTGTCAGGTCACCTCTGTAAAATTCTCTGCACTATAGAGATCTGACAGATATCCCCTCCCCGCCACAAATAAATACCTTTATTCCTGGAGTCTTCTACCAAATTCCAACTTTATCTCTTAACACTTCATTTTTTCAGCAACTTCAGGGGTAGCTAATGACATAAAGTCATCAGCTATAGTCATTTTTTTTTTTTTTGCTAAATATTATAGTACTAAAGCTCGGGTAACAACGAATATTTTTTAAGTTACAGATATTTGTGTGGTGTTCAGTTTTTTTTTATAAAATACAGTATTGTAATGAAATAAGAATTTATGAAATCTTACTGTAAGTAAAAACATGTGATTATTCCTTGAAGCTATATCAAAAACATTCCTTATTTTACTTTCAATGTTTTATGGTAATTTTCCAAAACTGTTTTTTTTCCTCACCCTCCTCTACAGAATAACTTAAAACTCTCAGCTATGTTAAGATTTTATGCCACATTTTATTCTTCCAAGTTATTTTGATTAATTCTGTTATCTATGCATTTTTACTGCAGTGTGGTAGACCTATTTAAATTCTAAAGTAAAATTAAATACCACAGAAAATAAAATTCCTTCACTAGAAGAAAAATAATAATGGGAAGACTTTACCCTAAGTATCCCATTATCATTTCAATCCCAAAATACAGTAGGGAAGCCTCGTTCACAAAGAAACAAATGACCAATGGTAGCATCTTAGGATATTAAAGAGGAGAATGTTTTTCCAATACATTATTCTTTCCAGCTCATGTGGGCTTATTTATTTATTGGGCTTCATTGAAAGTCTTCCCAACATAGTTGTATTATAGGTTTAAGATGTGAGTCCTCCTTTTGGGGTCTTCTTATACTTCCCCTTAGTATAACCAATGACAGTCTTTATTCCAAATTATGAAGAATCCTTTTCTTGGATGGGGAGAGAAAGGGAGAGGCATTTGCAAGAGTATGTACATTTCTCTCCTGGGATAGATCCCAGTTGCCTACTTCCAGCATTCCGAAACAAAACAATCAAAGTAAAAACAAAACAAACAAACAAACAAAAAACCAGAATTTGGTGTGTGTGTGATCCCTTCATCTGTCTCTAAATAGATGTTGTAAATTGGTCTTTATAGAAACATAAGAAATAATTCTCTTTGACGTTTTCCAATGTCATGGTGTTGCAACTTTTTTGTTCTTGTGCAGTGGGTGGGAGGGGAGTGTTACAGCTCTTTTACTCCCACTGCAGGTGAGCTCCTGATTCCTGTCCCATGACCAAGAAGAATAAGGCACACAGACACCAGATAGTGAGTAAGGAATATTTGAATTTATTAAGCAACAGAAAACTCTCAGCAAAGAGAGGGGACCCGAAAGAGGGTTGCTAGCTGTGGGGCTAAGTTCAGAAATTTTGCAGACTGTGAAGGGACAGGAGTGTGTTAACTGGTCTGTGGACTGTCTTGAAGAAAGCACCACCCAGAAAGAGGCACCATAGTGTAAAAGACCACTTTGGGCTGAAGTGAAGGCATGGCATGGGACATTGGCCTGGGACAAATCAGGGGCTGAAGTGAGGGCTTGGCCCCGGAGCTTGATCCAGGACCAGTCAGGGTCTGAAGTGAAGGAGCTGAAGTGAAGGAGTTTTGCTGGTGTGGGCTCTTTCTTATCTGGGGCCTACAGCTTGATTTTCAGGCTGTTCTTGGTTTGAAGGTGTTTTAATGAAGACCTACCCTGCCTGACTGGTTTCTTCCTTCCTTCTCTGTCATTGAGTTACTTATATTCCTAATATAATTCATTAAACTATTAGTATGGGCTCCCTGAATCTGTCAATTGAGACACTACACATCAGTAACTGAACAAACTATTGACCCGGGAGAAGTTTAACTAACTCAATCTGATATCATTGTGGCTGTACCACTTTCCCATAAATAGACAGATGAAAGTCACAGGACACTGAATGTAAGGGCAGCAGCTTCACATAATTTTCCAAGAAGATTGTTGATAGAGCAGAGCAAACAGCAAGGTTTGTGAGTAACTAAGATTAACTGTAGATACCTCACTTTTATAACCTTGTGACCTTTCATTTAGTCTCTTTAAATCTACTTTTTTTAAAAAAGAAAAAAAAACAGAAGACTGGCTGATTGCTTTCCTTTTTTGGAATTCTAGGTGAAAATTGGAACTTCTTGGCTTCATGGAAAGGGCTGAAATCCCAGTCCTTAGCAACCATGAGTCAGGGATAGAAGAACTTGTGCCCACTAGATTTAGCACCTTAGTCATAAATAAGGAGTCAGAGTCTGTATTTAACTTCTGAGAAGTCATGGGGTAGTCAGCCCTATGTATCCCTGACAAAGACCTCTGATATGCCTTAGAACATAAACTGGTCTCACTCAAGCTGGGACTTAGCTATTCCCCTCTTAGGATTTTGGTAAATCATTACACTTCTTTACAGCAGAGACCCTATAACTGTCTGAGCAGAGCCACATTCCAGCATAGACACTATCAGAATCTGCTCCGTAGTGGTCACAGCCAATCTTCTCCTCCTATACCAGGAACACTATGGGTGTGGATGACCAGCACCCAAGCGACATTGACAAGTCTCCTATCAAAGTTCATAGTAACTGTCTACTACCTACAGACATGTCATCCATAAAACTGGTCCCTCCCTATGGCATCTACTTGATAAAGTTGTAGTGAAAATTATATGGCAATACACTTTGGAAATCATTTAGTGTCAGGTACATGAGAAATGAAGGTAAACTCATTATTCCTGTGCCCTGTATATATTAAATATTCACAAACTGTTGTCATGTGTTTGTTGGTCGTGATATTACTCTTGCACACAACTTGTGCAAATTTATTATCTCTTTTCCTAGAATATCTTCTTCCCAGAATCCTCCTCCATTTCTTATGCAAGTAGATCACTGAAAATGACACTCACTGGACAATTGAACCTTGGGATGAAATCAACTTACAGTCTCAAACGAAAACACCTGTTAGGTCAGCCAACTTCTGAGTGTCCTCACTTCCTCTTTATAGAATGGAAATAAAAATAGCTGCCTTCTGGCAGGATATTGTGCTAGAAAGTCATTTCTTGTTGTCCTATTCATTCTTTTATGTACATTTAACAAACATTTTCTGAAAGAATATAATGGACCAAATTCTAGGCTGGGAAGCAGGAAGAAAAATAACCAGACTCAGTGCTTGCCCTCAAATGGACAACAGGTATGAATGCAACTTGAAAGTCATAATAATCTGTAAATATGAGGCACAAAATAATATTGTAGTGAGGCGCTTTTGTACTTATACCCTCAAGTATCTTGAATATGGTGGTTAATTTTCAATTCTTATGTAAAAATGAGTTAATAATATGTTGTTCAGATAATTCGAATTTTCTGTGAACACGTCATTTTAAGTGTGTATAAGAGTATGTAGAATAGAAATTTATGTTATACCTAAGTGTTTTTGTACAATTTACATATTTTAATAATAAAATAATAAAATTCATCTAAAAGTAATTTGCATTTGGTATAATATATATTTAAATAAACTGTGGATGCAAATATTTTGAATTATTTCTTTTTAATTTTTAAGTTAAGGGGTACTTGTGCAGTTTTGTTATATAGGTAAATCCATGTCACGGGGATTTGTTGTACATGTAGTTTCATCACCAGGTATTAAGTCCAGTACCCATTAGTTATATTTCCTGATCCTTTCCCTCCTCCCAACCTCCATCCTGTACCCTCTGGGAGGCCCCAGCATCTGTTGTTCCCCTCTGTATCTATGTATTCTCATCATTTATCTCTCACTTACAAGTGAGAACATGCAGTATTTGGTTTTATATTTCTTCATTAAATTCCTTATAACACATTGACTAGCATTCTCTGCAGGAGAAAGCATAATTTTTTAAAAAATTATTTTTAATTATTATGGGTACATAATAGGTGTACATACTTATGGAGTATATGTGATGTTTTGATATAAGCATACAATGTGTAATAATTATATCAGGGTAGTTGGGGTATCCATCACTTCAAGCATTTATCAATTATTTGTGGTAGAAACATTCAAATCATACTCTTTAGTTATTTTAAAGCTACAATAAATGTTGACTATCATCACCCTGTTGTGATGTGAAATACTAGATCTTATTCATTCTATCTAACTATATTTTTTTACCCACTAACCATCTCTACTTTATCCCCCACCGCATTACACTATCGCCACGAATTCAGTCATTTTAAATTTAGTTACAACATATGTGTGAGAACAAGTGAAATTTGTCTTTCAGTACTTGGCTTATTTCATTCAGTGTAATGTCCTCCAGTTCCATCCATGTTGTTGCAAATGACGGGATTTCATTCTTTTTTGTATCTCAGTAACACTCCATTCCACATTTTCTTTATCCATTTATCTGTTGATGAACACTAAGATTGATTTCAAATCTTGGCTATTGTGACTAGTGCTGCAATATACATGGGCGTGCAGATAATAATCTCTTCAATATATGATTTCCTTTTTAAATAGATATTTATCTAGCAGTGAGATTGCTGGATCACATGGTGATTCCGATTTTAGTTTCTTGAGGAACCTCATACTGTTCTCATACTCATACCTCATTCTGTAAACTAGTACATTGTGGCTGTACTAATTTTTATTCCTGTCAACAGTGTATGAGGGTTCCACTTACTCCACATCCTCATCAGCATTCATTATTGCTTGTCTTTTGGATAAAAGCCATTTTAACAGGGGTGAGATGATATCTCATTGTGGTTTGATTTCCATTTCTCTGACAATGAATGATGTTGAGCACCTTTTCATATACCTGTTTGCCATTTGTATGTCTTCTTTTGAAAAATGTCTATTCAGATATTTTGCCCATTTTAAAATTGGATTATTAAATTCTTTTCTATTGAGTTGTTTGAGCTCTTTATATAATCTGGTTATTAATCCATTCCTAGAGGGGTAGTTTGCAAATATTTCTCCCATTATATGGGTTGTCTCTTCACTTTGTTGACTGTATCCTTTGCTGTACAGAGCTTTTAAATTGATGTGATCCCATTTGTTCATTTTTGCTTTGTTTTCCTGTGCTTTTGGAGTATTACTCAAGAAATCCTTGCCTAGACTAATGTCCTAAAGAGCTTCCCCAATGTTTTTTTAGTAGTTTCATAGTTTTAGGTGTTAGATTTAAGTATTTAATCCATTTTGAATTGATTTTTCTATATAGTGAGAGAAAGAGAGAGAGGTCTATTCAGCTGCACATGGATATATAGTTTTTCCAGCACCATTTATTGAAGAGACCACCCTTTTCCTAAGGTATGTACTTGGAACTTTTGTCAAAAATGAGTTCACTGTAGATGTATGGAAGTAATTTCTGCGTTCTTTATTCTGTTTCATTAGTCTGTCTGTTTTTATGCTAGTACCATGCTGTTTTGATTACAATAACTTTGTAGTATAATCAGAAGTCAGGTAATGTGATTCCTCTGGTTTTCTTCTTTTTGCTCAGAATAACTTTGGATATTCTCAGTCTTTTATGGTTCCACATTAATTTTAGGATTTTTTTTGTATTTCCATGAAGAATGTCATTGGTATTTTGGTGGGGATCACATTGAATCTACAAATTGCTTTGGGTTGTATGGACATTTTAACAACATAGAATCTTCTAATACATAAACACAAAATATCTTTCTATTTCTGGTGTTTTCCCTTGAATTTCTTGCATCAATATTTTATAGCTTTAATTTTAGAAATCTTTGACTTCTTTGGTTAGGTTCATTCTAAGGTATTTTATTTTATTTGTAGCTATTGTTAATGGGATTACTTTCTTTATTTTTCATATGGCTTGCTATTAACATATAGAAATGCTACTGATTTTTGTAAATTGATTTTGTATCCTGCAACTTTACTGAATTTGCTAATCAGTTCCTTTTTTTTTTTTTTTTTTTTTGAGACGGAGTCTCGCTGTCGCCCAGGCTGGAGTGCAGTGGCGCAATCTCGGCTCACTGCAGGCTCCGCCCCCTGGGGTTCACGCCATTCTCCTGCCTCAGCCTCCCGAGTAGCTGGGACTACAGGCGCCCGCCACCTCGCCCGGCTAATTTTTTTTTGTATTTTTAGTAGAGACGGGGTTTCACCGTGGCTAATCAGTTCTAATAGTTTTTTTGGTGGAGGCTTTAGGTTTCAATAAATATGTAAGACTATATTGTCTGCCAGCAAGGATAATTTGACTTCTTCCTTTCTAATTTGGGTGCCCTTTATATCTTTCTCTTGTCTGAGTGCATTAGTTAGGACTTCCAATACTATGTTGAATAACAGTGGGCAACATTGTCTCTTTTTAAATCCTAGAGAAAATGTTTTCAGGTTTTATCCTTTCAGTATGATACTTGCTGTGGGTCTGTTGTATATGGCTTTTATCATATTGAGGCATATTCCTTCTATACCTAGTTTTTTGAGAGTTTATATCATGAAGGGATGTTGAATTATATCAAACAAATTTTCATTATTAATTGGAATAATCATATAATTTTTATCCTTCATTCTGTTGTTAGGACGTATCACATTGATGGATTTGCATATGTTGCACTATCCTTATATCCCTAGGATGAATCGAATCTGATCAGGATGAATAATCTTTTTAATGTGATGCTGAATTCAGTTTCCTAGTATTTTGTTTAGAATTTTTGCATCTGTGTTCATCAGCTATATTGGCCTGTCATGTTGTTTTTTTCTTTTTTTTTGCTGTTGTTATTGTTGTGTCTTTTTATGGTTTTGGTATCAGAGTACTATTGGCCTACTAGAATCAATTTGAAAGTATTCCCTCCTCCTTAATCTTTTGGAACAGTGTGAATAGGTTTAGTGATATTTACTTAAATGTTCGATAGAATTCAGTAGTGAAGCCATCATGTCCTGGGCTTTTCACTGATGGAAGACTTTTTATTAGTACTTCTATCCCATTACTTGTTATTTGTCTAAGTTTTGGATTTCTTCATGCTTCCATCTTAGTAGGTTGTATGTGTTTAAGAATTTGTCTATTACTTCCAAATTTCCAATTTATTGGCACACAGTTGTTCATAATGCTAATGATCCTTTGAGTTTCTATGGTATCAGTTTTAATGTCTTCTTTCTGGTTTCTGATTTTATTTATTTGTGTCTTCTCTCTTTTGTTCTTAGTCAATTTTTTAAATCTTTTCAAATACCAACATTTCATCCTGTTAACCTTTTGTATTTTTTGTTTCAATTTCATTTATTTCTGCTCTGATCTTTGTAATTTCTTTTCTTCTACCAATTTTGGGTTGATTTCCTCCTGCTTTTGTAGTTTCTTAAAATACATACTAGGTTGTTATTTGAAGTTTTTCTACTTTTTCGATGTAGGCAATTATTGCTGTAAACTTTCCTCTTAATATTGCTTTTGCTATATCCCATAGGTTTGGCTATGTTGCATTTCCATTTCCATTTGTTTCAATAAATTATTCAATTTTCTTCTTAATTTCTTAATTGACTCACTGGTCATTCAGGATTGTATTATTTAATTTCCACTTGTTTGTATAGTTTCTAAAGTTCCTCTTGTTTTTGATTTCTAGTTTCATTGCATTGTAGTCAGAGAAATACTTGAGAGAATTTCAATTTTTTTAAAAAAATTTAAGACTTGTTTTTTTTTGGCCTAATATCTGATCTATCCTTGAGAGTGATCCATGTGCTGAGGAGAATGTATATTCTGCAGATGTCAGATGAAATGTTCTATAAATATCTATTATATTTGGCCTATAGTGTAGATTTAGTCCAATGTTTGTTGATTTTCTGTCTTGATGATCTGCCCAATGCAGAAAATGGAGTTTTGTGGTCTCAAGCTATTATTTTATTGGGGTCTATCTCTCTCTTGTGTTATGCACCTGGGTGCTCCTTTGTTTCGTGCACATTTATTTGTAAATGTTATATATTACTGCTCACTTGACCTGTTTATCATTATGTAATGATTTTCTTTGCCTCTTTTTATATTTTCATTTTGAAATAGATTTTATCTGATATAAGTATGGCTACTCCTGCTCTTCTGTGATTTCTATTTTGCTGAAACATTGCTTTCCATTCCTTTATTTTCAGTCTATGTGTGTGTTTATAGGTGAGGTGAATATCTTGCACACAACATATAGATGGGAATTCTTTCTTATCCATTCAGCCACTCTATATGTTTTGATTGGAGTGTTTAGGCCAATGACATTCAAGGTTATTATTGACAGGTAAGGATGTACTATTGTCATTTTCTTACTTGTTTTCCAGTTGTTTTGTAACCCTCCTTCTTTCTTTTTTCCTTCTTATCTTCCTTTGTGTAAAAGTGATTTTTTACTGGTAGTACGTTATGATTTCTTGCTTTTTTTCTGTGTATCTGTTGTAGGTTTTTTGTACTGAAGTTGCCATAGGCTTGTAAATAATATCTTATAATCAATTGGTTTAAATTGACAGCAGGTTAACTCTGATTAAAAAACAACCACAACAACATACAAATAAATCAGCAAAGAGAAAAGTAAAAAAAAAAACTCTATGCTTTAACTCTATTCCACATTTTGATTTTTTGTGGTTGTCATCGTTTTACACTATCTATCTCTTGATAATTTGTTGTGGTTATTATTTTTGTAGATTTGCCTTTTTGTCTTACTATTCAAGATACGAGTGGTTTATATAACACATTTATACCATTTAAGTATTCTGTATTTGTCTCCATACTAACCGTTACCAGTGAATTTTATAGTTTCAGAAGACTCTTTATTGTTTATTAAAAATATTTTCTTTCAGACTGAAAAAGCTCCATTTAGTATTTCTTGTAGAATAGGTTTGGTGTTGACAAAATCCTTTAGGTTTCATTTGTCTTGGAAAGTCTTTCAATCACCATCATGTTTGAAGGATATTTTTGCCAGAAATGATATTTTTTGGATGTAATTATTTTTCCCTCAACACTGTGAATGTATCATGCCACTATCTCCTGGACTGTAAGGTTTCCTCTGAGAAGTCTGCTGCCAGACATACTGTAACTCCTTTATGTGTCATTTGTTTATTTTATCTTTCTGCTTTCAGGATCCTTTCTTTATGTTTGACCTTTGGGAGCTTGGTTATTAAATGCCTTGAGGTAGTCTTATTTGGGTGAAATCTGCCTGGTGCTCTATAACTTCTTGTACTTGAATATGCATATCTTTCTCTAGGTTTTGAAAGTTCTCTGTTATTATCTTTTGGAATAAACTTTCTATCCTGGTCTCTGTCTCTCTGACTCCTCTTTAAGGCCAATATTTCATATATGCCCTTTGAAGGCTATTTTCTAGAACTTATAAGCATTCTTCCCTCTTTTTCATTCTCCTTTCTTTTGATTCTTCTGATCAAGTATTTTCTAATACACTGTCTTTAAGCTCACTAATTCTTTCTTCTGCTTGAACAATTATGTTGTTGAGGGTCTAATAAACTTGTCACATTGTCAATTACATTTTTCAGCTCTAGAATTTCTGCTTGATTCTTTGCAATTATTATTTTTTCTTCAATTTTTATTTTAAGTTCAGGGGTACATGTGCAGGATATGCAGGTTTGTTAAACATGTAAGCATGTGCCAATTACTAAATTTCTCTAATCAGAATCTGTATTCTTTCCCTGTCTTATCTTGGACTTCATTAAGCTTCCTCATAACAGTTACCTTAAATTATCTATCTGAAAGTCTACATAGCTCTCTCATTTGAATTGCTCACTGGTTCCTTATTTACGTCATTTGGTGAGGTCATATTTCCATGAATGGTTTTGATGTTTGTAGATGTTCATTGATGTCTGGGCATTGAAGAGTTAGGTCTGTTCTAATATTCACAGTCTAGACTTGTTTGTACCTGTCTTTTTGAGAAGGCATTCCAAGTATTCATAGGGAATTGAGTGTTGTGATCTAAGTCTCTGGTTACTGCAGCTGTATGTTCATTTTGTGGGCACCCCAAGCCTGGTAATGCTGTGGCCCTTGACAACTCATCAAGGTACTGCCGTGGTAGTCTTGGGTGAAGTCCCAGAGAATTCTCCCTGAATTGCCAGGTAGAATTCTCCCTGAATTGTTCTCTTTCCTTATTTTCCCCCAAACAAATGGAGTCTCTCTGTCTGTGCTGAGCTGCCTGGAGTTGGAGGAGGGGTGATGCAAGCACTTTTGTGGCACCGCTGCTAGGACTGTTCTGGGTTACACCTGAAGCCAGCACCATACTGCGTCTCACCCAAGGCCTGTGGCAATTATTTCCTGGCTACTGATGTTTATTCAAGGTCCAGGAGCTCATTAGTCATCAGCTGATGAATCCTGCCAGAATTGGGCCTTTCTATTCAGAGCATCAGGTTCCCCTCTGGCCCAGGATGGGATTAGAAATGTTGTCCAGGAGTTAGGGCCTGGAAACGGGCCTCAGGAATTTCTTTGGTCCTTTATTTTACTCTGGCTAAGCTGCTACTTCAGTCTCAAGGCAATGTTCTCTGTACTCTTCCCTCGCTTTTCCTCAATCAGAAGGGGTCTGTCTCTCCGCTGCCTTAAGTTGCAAGAGGAGTGACACAGGCACTCCCTTGGCTGCCACAGCTGGTGTCCCACTGCTCTTTAAGTCCACTGGCTCTGAGCTCATTGTAGCACCAGGTGTTGCTCAAATACTGCAACCCTTGTTGCCTGTCTTCCAGATTTTTTCAGGACCCCAGGCCACTTTAGTCAGCCAATCATAAAGCTAGCCAAATCTCTAGTTTTTTTCCAGTGGGGCAGAGGATTTCTCTCTACCCAGGGTTAGTCTAAATACTCCCTCCACGTGCATAGTCAGAATACTGCCCTTGGTTGTGTCCTGCTGTGAGAAAGCAACACTGAGTTCCAATTCAAAGTCCTACAATTACTTTTCTGTCCCTTCCCTAAGCACACAGATTCTCTCTCCTCACCAAATGGCACTGTTGGGGCATGGGAGAGGGGTGTTGTAGACAATGCAAGAATGTCTTCATTGCCCCTTCAATGCCCTTTCCCTTGATATGATGTCAAAACCAGATACTGTGATCACTCACTTGATTTCTGGCTCTTACGAAGGTGCTTTCTTGTGTGAATAGTTGTTCAATTTAGTGTTCATGTAAGGGAACAATTGCTGGAAGATTCTCTTTGGTCATCTTGCTCACCCAAAAAGCATGATCATTAGGGTGTATTTTTAGGCTATTTGACCTGAAGTAAGTATTTGAAATAAGTTTTTCAACCATGCAATTACATATTAGCCTAAGCAAAAGGCCCCCCAATAAAATCTTGCATTGTAATGTCTGATAGTCTAACATCAGTATTAAAATTATCTTTAATGTGCATCGAACTAAAAGTTGAATCCCCATCACAAAGTCAAATTAACTATTCCTGTAAGTATATAGAGTAGCTCATGATCACCCTTGAAATTGTCATGTACATGGTTCCTCTAAGTGGTAACTACTTATACAATGACTTCAAGACACTCCTGTTTATATACCTTGGACCATTATATGAAGAGGACAGAATAACCTATATTTAGACCTAATGGCACTTAAAAGATAATGTTTTGAAATATATGTTAGGCACATAGACTATATGTTCATTAATTTAATAGTAATCAAATTTCAATTTTGAGTAGTAAACATTAATTTAGTGACTTGATTTATTTTTAACTTTTAGAGTGAAATATATTGGTCTGGAATAATTGATTATTTTAAAATCAGTACTTTTACTAAAATGCTGAAACTTGGGTAGATCAATGATTTTCTCAGATATGTCCATAAAGTACTTTTTAGGAATTTAAGCAGTCATCTTGTCCAACTTCCATTTCTGCATGTTCCTGCAACTTCAGACTCTTTCAATGCAACATAAATTGAATTTGTGATGAGAAAAAAACAAGCAATAATAACTTATACTTTGAAATTTTTAAAACTGCCAACATATTTTTCTAATTAAAGATGATTAAATTGATGTTTTATAAAGTTATTGTTTTAGTTAAATCCAATTCGTCAAGAATTTGTTGAGAACATACTAAATTCTCAGAATTGTGTTGGCTGTTGTTAGAAGGAAAATGATACATGAAGTAAAACACCAGTAATGGAGAATAATCATTCCTTTATATAATTGTAATTTTTGCACCAGTCTTGAACTTGAGGTAGATACTTACGAACCAGTCTTTCTTTTTGTCTTGAACTATTTCATCCTTCAAGAGACCCAATCTTTTCTCCAGCTGTCACTTTAACAGTCATTAATGGACCCACTCTTGGCTTTGTATTTCATAGCCATTGTTTGATTTGTAGGCCCTAATGATCTCATCTACTTCGTTCATGTGTCTTTCATTTTTTCATTAGGTACTTTACTTGGTTTACTAGGATGGATTGGAGAAACATCAAGAATGTGTTGTTTCAAAAAATACATAAAAGAAAGACTATTATCACATCATTTTTGGTGGGTTAGATATCTCGATAAAGATTCATCACTACAAAAGTACCTCTTCAAAACATAATATATCCGGATACTTTGTGGTTTATGCTCACACCACTGAAAAAAATAGAAGTGCTGCTAAACACCTTTGTTTCTAAGTCATATTATACAGATTTAAATCACAAAGAAAGGGACTCACTAAAATACTTTGGCTAAGCATTTTTTTCTTAAAAAACTCTAAAAAAAACCCTTCAAAATTTAATCATTAAAGTTCAGTCTAGCGATCATGTGTTTGGATTCTCTTTTACCATAATTTGAAATTGGCCTAAATAAATATAGATTTTATTTATTTATTTTAGACTGGGTCTCACTCTGTCACCTAGGTTGAAGTGCTAAGGCATGATGATCGCTCACTGCAGCCTTGATCTCCCAGGCTCAAGTGATCCTTCCACCTCAGCCTCCTAAGTACTTGGGACTACAGGCACATGCCACTATGTCTGGCTAATTTTTAAATTTTTTGTAGAGACAGGGTCTCACGGTGTTGTCCATACTGGTCTCAAACCCCAAGACTTAAGCGTTCCTCCTGCCTCAGCTTCTCAAAGTGCTGAGGTTACAAGTATGAGCCACTGTGCCTGGATGCATATAGATATTTCTAAAATGAAAATCACATGATGCAGAGTGGCTGTTTTACAGAATTTCTCTTAACTCTTTGTAGGCAATTTAGAAGTGAATCTATATCAGCTCTTATTAATATCAAAATGTTTCTTATATTTGTATTAAACCATCTCCATTGCTTCACTCTGGAAAATAAGCTCTGATAAGGTGAGCAAGTCATCCAAAAAATTAAATTGTGATTGTTGATAATTAAATTTTTTTAATAAATTACTTTTTCATGTGTGAAATAGTTTTCACTTTTGTCTGAGTAGATTATGCAAATTATTGTTTTGCTCTATTAATATAGTAAATATAAGATTATTATAAATCTAAAAGGAAGGCAGCATTAAGTTAAAAATTTTAAATGTTCAGTAAATATGAACCTTTTGCCAACTAATTTGAAACATTACTTTTGTAATTCATTGTGCAATCATTGAACACCTTGCTACATGGCTGATATCATTTATCCTTAGTTGCTATACTTCCTGCCAACATAACAAGGTAAACTCTAAAATTCAGAGATACTATTTAGTAGCAACATTTGTACTGAGGTTTTCCTCTACTCTGTGTGGCCTCTCTGAATTTAGAAAGAACAATTACTATTTCTCACACAAATTCCCATCCACAAATCTCAGTTCTCCTGCTGACAATAAGTGTCCTGGAACAGAAATGAAGAAGGGGAGGTGGTGGTGCTGTCCAGCCCGTCTTTCCAATACTTTTTATAATTATATGGAAATAATTTCAAATAATATTAGTTACCTATTGGTTTTTCTAAACTCAAAAAACACAACTTGTTTTTGAGTCCCTGTTCTATGTACAGAACAGTGATAAGACCTATGAAGTGTATATATATCCTACTAGAAGTGTTATATCAGTCTTCAGCAAACTTAAGCTGGTAATTCAGAGGAATAAAGAATAAGTGTTAAATAAGTGAATAGAGGAGGAGCTTTAGGCAGTGCTATGAGAATTTAAATATGATTTGAAAATATTAATTTGGTAATGGTAGTAGTAATTTTGCTGGATTATTCAAGGAAAATTTCATGTAGGAGACTAGATTAATAAAATATTAGAAGTAGGGCCAAAGACAGACGTAGTCTAATCTGAGCATACCTTTTTTTTTTTTTTTTTTTTTTTTTTTTGAGACAGAGTCTTGCTCTGTCACCCAGGCTGCAGTGCAGTGGCACAATCTCGGGTCAGTGCAACCTCTGCCTCCCGAGTTCAAGAGATTCTCCTGCCTCAGCCTCCCGAGTGGCTGGGGATACAGGCGCCTGCCACCATGACCAACTAATATTTGTGTTTTTAGTAGAGATGGGGTTTCACCATGTCGGCCAGGCTGGTCTCTAACTCCTGACCTCAGGTGATCCACCCGCCTCAGCATCCCATAGTGTTGGAATTACAGGCATGAGCCACCATGCCCAGCTAGAGCATACCATTTTTAAAATAAGGAAACAAGACCAAGTAAAATAACATACTAAGATCGCACAGAAGAGAACATCGACTTTGTCTTTGAGGACATATTCTTTTGTTTTTGTAGTTTGTAATGTTTCTTAAAATTTCTTTAATGCCAAGGATAAACAAAGATGACCTCATTCCTGGACCAGTGCCATTTTATTTGCATATTTTGACTAATAACTATTGTTTAAATAGAAGAAAAGGAAGGGATATGAAAGAAAAGGTTGAGGACTTTGGTAAAATCAAAGATGGAAATAGGAAAGTACCAGATGTTTGTAGTATTACGTAAAGCAAAAAATATATTGGAGTGCAGAAAAATGTGTCCTGTAAAGTTGATGGAAAAGAGAAAGATCTGTCATCATAAATTGTGCAAGATTATATGATAAAACTTAAATTCTGTCTTATGGGCACTAAGACTAAAATTTTTCAAGTGGGAGAAGGAGGAGAAAAATGTGATTTGTGAATAATAACTTGATAATGGAAGTCAGGAAGTTGAAGAAATTAAAAAATGAAGACTTGGAGTATAGTTAGCATAGGCTACTGGGTCATCCAAGCCTCCGACAATAAAAGCTCTACAACAGTATGTTTTAAAAAAAAATCAATCCATGGAAATGTAATGGATGTGTGAACGAAGAGCAAGAGCAAAGAAGTGTCAACAATGCTGCTGAACTTTAAATCACAAATTAAACTACTTAAAAAAACACATACACACATAAAATCAGAAAAAATATTGTTGTTTTTGCTTTTTTATTTCCCTTGGATGGAGTGCAGGCTCAGAGCATTACATTGCCTCTAAAAATACTGGTCTTGTGCCAAACTGAACAGAATTGAGACCCAAAAATCCATAAAAAGAATCAATGAAACCAAAGGATAAACAAGATTCATAGACTGCTAGTTGAATTAAGAATGCAGAAAGAGAGGAGAACCAAATAAGTACAATCAGAAATGACAAACATGACATTGCAATTGATCCTACAGAAATACAAAAAATCCTCAGAGGCTATCATGAACACTTCTACACATAAGAACTAGAAAATATAGAGGCAAAGCATAAACTCTTGGAAAAACACAACCTCCCAAGGTTGAAAGACTGAATAGACCAATGTCGAGTTCTGAAATTGAATCAGAAAAAAAAAAAACCCTACCCATGAAAAAAAGCTCTGGACCAGATGAATTCATAGCCAAATTCTGCCAGACATACAAGGAAGAGCTAGTACCAATTCTACTAAAATTATTCCAAAAAATCGAATGGGAGGGACTCCTGCCTAACTCATTCTACAAAGCCAGCATCGCCCTGGCAAAGCTGGCAAAGACAGAGTGAGGAAAAGAAAACTACAAGCCAATACACCTGATGAACATAGACCCAAAAATCCTTAACAAAATACTAGCAAATCAAATTCAATAGCACATATCAAAGTTAATTCACCATGATAAAGTAGGCTTCATTCCTGGGATACAAATTTGATTCAACACACACAAGTCAACAAATGTAATTCACCACATACACATAATTAAAAACAAAAATTGTATGACCATCTCTATAGATGCAAAAAAAAGATTTCAATATAATACAACATCCTTTCATGATTTTTAAGAAAACCTCAACGAAGTAGACATCAATGGAACATACCTCAAAATAATAAGAGCCATCTTTGAAAAACCCACAGGCAACATGTTACTGAATGGGAAAAAGCTGGAAACATTCCCTTGAGACTGCAACAAGACAAGGATTCTCATGCTGACCACTCCTATGCAACGTAGTACTGGAAGTCTAGTCAGAGAAATCGGTCAAGAGAAAGAAACAAAAGGCATCCAAATAAGAAAAAAGAAAAGAAGTCAAATTATCTGTTTTCATTGAGAATATGATTCTATACCTAGAGAAGCCTAGCAACTCTGAAGCTCCTGGAACTAATAAAACAACTTCATTAAAGTTTCAGGATACAAAATCAACGCATACAAAAATCGGTAACATTTCTATACACCAATAACATTCAAGCTCAGTGCCAAATCAATAATGCAATCCCATTTATAATAGCCATATGCACAAAAGTAAAATACCCAGAAATACATCTAACCACGGAGATGAAAGTTCTCTACAAGGATAACTACAAAACACTGCCAAAAGAAACTGCAGATGACACACACAAATGGAAAAATATTCCATCATTATGGTTTGGCAGAATCTATATTGCTAAATGACCATACTGTCCAGGGTAATATACAGATTCAATGCTATTCCTATCAAACTACCTATCTCATTTTTCACAGAATTGAAAAAAAAATCTAAAATTCATATGAAATATTTTAAAAAGTCAGAATAGCCAAAGCAATTGTAAGCCAAAAGCACAAAGCTAAAGGCATCATTTGCAAAAAAAAATTTGCAAACAATTCATCTGAAAAAGGTCCAATATCCTGAATCTATAAGGGACTTCATGAAAAAGAAAAAAAACAAATAACCTCATTAAAAATAGGTCAAAGATGTAAAAAGACATTTCTCAAAAGAAAACATACAAGCAGCCAACAAACATATGAAAAAAATGTTCCCCATCACTAATCATCAGAGAAATGCCAATCAAAACCACAATGAGATTCTATCTCACACCAGTCAGAGAGGCTGTTATTATTATTAAAGCTTTAAATATAAAACCCAAAACTATAAAAACCCTAGAAGAAAATCTAGGCAATACCATTTAAGACATAGGCACAAGCAACAATTTTATGACAAAATCACCAAAGTAATTGCAACAAAAGCAAAAATTGACAAATGGGATCTAATTAAACTAAGAGCACTAAACTAAACACAGCAAAAGAAATTGTCATCAGAGTGAACAGGCAACCTACAGAGTGTGAGAAAATTTTTGCAATCTATCCATCTGACAAAGGTCTAATACCCAGAATAATAATTTACAAGGAACTTAAACAAATTTACAAGAAGAAAACAAATAACCCCATTAAAAAAAGGGGCAAAGGACATGAACAGACACTTCCCTAAAGAAGACATTCATGTGGCCTAAAACATATGAAAGAAAAGGTCAACATCACTGATCATTAGAAAAATGCAAATGAGAACCATAATGAGACACTATCTCATGCCAATCAGAATGGCAATTATTAAAAAGTCAAAAAACAACAGATGCTGCCAAGGTTGCAGAGAAATAGGAATGCTTTTACACTGTCGGTGGGAATGTAAATTAGTTCAACCACTGTGGAAGGTGTGGCAGTTCCTCACAGATCTAGAACCAAAAATACCATTTAACTCAGTAATCCCATTATTGGGCATATACCCAAAGAAATATAAAATCATTATATTTCAAAGATACATGCTAATGTATGTTCATTACAGCACTATTCACAATAGCAAAGACATGGAATCAACCCAAATGCCCATCAATAATAGGCTGGATAAAGAAAATGTGGCACATACACACCATGGGATACTATGCAGCCATAAAAGGAACAAGATCATGTCATTTGCGGAGACTTGGATGGAGCTAGAAGCCATTATCTTCAGCAAACTGACCCAGGAACAGAAAACCAAACACCGCATGTTCTCATTTATAAGTGGGAGCTGAACAATGAGAACACGTAGACACAGGAAGGGGAACATCACACACTGGGACCTGTCAGAGGGTGGGGTGGGGGGAGGAAGAGCATTAGGAAAAATAGCTAAGGTATGGGGTTTAATACCCAGGAGAGGGGTTGATAGGTGCAGCAAACCACCGTGGTACATGTTTACCTATGTAACAAAACTGCACATCCTGCACATGTATCCCAGAAATTAAAATAAACATAAACATAAACATTTAAAAAGTCAAAAAACAGATGTTGACGAAGGTGTGGAGGAAGGGGAACCCTTATATGCTGTTGGTGGAAATGTAATTAATTCAGCCACTGTGAAGAGCACTTTAGAGATTTCTCAAAGAAATTAAAAGACAACTACCATTTGATCCAGCAACTTCATAATGGGTATATTTCCAAAAGAAAACAAATCATTCTCTAAAAAATGAAGATGCCCTTGCATGTTCATGGCAGTATTATTCGCAATAGCAAAGACATGGTATCAACTTAGGTGCCCATCAACAGTGGATTGGATAAAAGAAATGTGCTACATATACACCATTGGATACTATGCAGTCATAAAAAAGAATGAAATTATGTCATTTGCAGCAACATGGATGTAGCTGGAGGCCATTATCCTAAGCAAAATAAGACATGAACAGAAAATTAAATGCCATGTGTTCTTACTTGTAAGTGGGAACTAAATATTGGATACTTGTGGACATAAAGATGGCAAAAATAGACCCTAGGGACTACTAGAAGCGGCAGGGAGAGAGGAAATGGCTGAAAAAGTGTCCGGTATTATGCTTGGTACTGGAGATTGGATCATTTGTACCTAACCTCAGCATCATACGATATAACCAGGGTTGTTGTGATAATTAAGTTAAATAATCTTTGTCAAGCATGTAGGAGAGAATTTCTTTTCTCTACTGAGAAGCATGTGCCATGGTGGGAAGAGCAGCTAATTTGAGCATTGATGAGTCCAGAGCGTCCAACAAAATAAAACAGAAACTTCTTTTCATCAGAGCCACCAACAAAGTAAGATGAGAACTTCTACGTACCCTCTTGTTGGATAGGTGGACACCTTTAACCTCCTTTTCTCCTTATAGAACCCCACGAGACAGAAATGGCAAAGAGTACTCTTCAAAGAATGGCACTAAAAAGAGTAGGCCATCAAAATTGCTCTATATCATTAGATTTAGATGTGTAATTATAGACTGTATCTGGCAACATGCTGGGAAGGAAACTTTTTCTTAATGGAAAACAAATATAAGGTAAAAATACATATTGACTGCACAATAAATTTCTGGAAACTTTTAAAGATAGAAGTTGCTTTTTAACTAAGAATTTGTTTTGAGTGAGAATTACATTATTTATATAGCTTTGGATTTTACAGCTTAAGTCTAGACAATGGTTGCTAAATGAGATGTTTAAAATTTGTCCTGTTGTCACAGAGAAGCTCAAAGGCAGAGAGAACAAGAGAACTGAGGCACGGATTCAGAAGATCTTATATATCGTATTGTGACAGGCAATTTGTGACCTGCAGCTCATCACCTACCTCAAGGAGATAAATGGAAAAACCAATTCATACAGAAGTTTCTCAGAGAAAGATTTTATGTGCTGTGTGGCTACTTCCTCCCTCAACTGAGTCAAGTGAAGGAACTTCAGTCATCATTTAGAATAGTTGACATGTCTGCCATGAAAAGGAGGCATTTGCTAAGGGCAAGAGACTATGGAAAGGCCAGGAAAGCAGTGACTAGAGGAACAGCAATAAAATAAATGGAGTCAAATGTGCGGATTTCTTATGGTTCAATCCATTAGTTAAACCAGCTACAGAGGAAAGAATATAACTCTTATTTTTCTTTCTTCTTAGATGCAAATATTTCTCTTGTAGTTCCAGCAATGCAATAGAATTATCAGTCCATGAACTTACAAGTGAACAAAAATAAGGATTAATTTTTAAAATTTAAACTTGGAGTGAGATGAAAAAATAAACTTGGGTAAGAAGAAAGCCATATATATGGCTTTCAGGATATATTCAACTTTCATTTGTTACTAATATGACTTATCAATTTGTTTGTCACGTGAGAATGACCTCATTTCTTTGTGTTAATTAAGGCAAAACCATTCTATGGAAACTAATGGCTGTAGGAACTTTTGGTTTAGCATTTTCTAGCATTAGTTGTTTCTCTTTTCTACATTAAGTGTGTTCACTCTTCTACTGAGCAACATATTTATTTCAATAACTCAATCTTTTCCAAATACTCAGCATCTTCTTTAATTTTTCTTATGCTTTTGCTTTATTCAGGTAATGTCTTCAATATAGGAAAACGTATGCTGCTCTCTTTAGAGTGAAATTGTTTATATTTTTCTCTTTTTTTTTTTCCTAAAAAGTGAGAAAAAAATGAAAGGGGAGGAAAGGCAGAGGAAAAAAAAATCTTAATATATCCCACATTCCTAGTCGTGTAAGGTCTGTTATAAATCCTTCAGCAGTATTTGCTTGAAAAGCCCATGAATAGGTAAAACTTGTAAGAACAACATAAATTCATGATGCAATGATGATCTAACATCAACACAATATAAAATTTACCAAGTCTTTCACACATATTTCCTTATGTGTAGTTCACAATAAGTTGAAGTAGATTAGGTAGGAATTGTTACTTTTATTTCACATAAATGAAATCTAGGTTCAGAGAAGCTCAGTGTCTTGCTCAGGGTCATACCACATTTTAAAAGCTCAAAATATTGCTTTTTGAAGCCATAGGCTGGGCTCCTTCTGCTTTACTCAGTGAATATTATCTACGTAATTTTTCATACTGTTCTTTAGAGTTTGGAATAGTTTGAAGTATTGTATCTTCCCAAAGCTTAAGTATTTTTACTTCCCATCAACATTTATTGGGATTCAAATAACATTTCCATAAAACAGTTTCAAAACTTTTTTTTGTTGTTGGGGAGAACTGTATATTCTCTTACCCATAGCTTCCAAAATTGCATAGTAAATTCTGTCTTTGCTCCCAAACTTTAGGATTCAAGGAATGTAAAAATATTAGAATACCTGTTGTTATTGGCACTGAGACCTGATTTCTGTGACAGTAGTTTGACAATCCCGCTATTCACCATAAACAATATTTTAATCATCCACAAAGAAAATACTCTAAAAACTTCATCTTTAATTTTTATTTTTATAGAAATACAAATCTGAAAAGCTAAATGAATAATTTGGGAGTCTTTATGCCATTCTCAAGCCTTAACAGCTGCTTCTCCCATGCTCATCCAAAATTTATCTCAAATTTTCTGATAGGTATTCAATGGAAGAGATGCAAGGAATAACAAGTAATATAGTCCCTGGCTTAGGGCATCAAAGTTTTTTTATTCCATGCCAAACCAATGCAGAATGTATTTGCATGAATAAATTCCAAAATAATGTTACCTTGAAATGACTTTGATTTGATCTATGCTTTCTTTTTCTCCCCTGAAACTTACATTATCAAACAAAATCCCCGTCTCCTGACTTACTGCTATCACATTGACAACTGGTTTCTTTATTAACTGTAGGAACCATAACAAAGAGGCCTCTGGATTATTATAGTTTATATTTCAATTCATTTCATTTTAAAATTCACAAGATGACATTATGACTGATGACAACAGATAACTAACTGTTTTCATACCTTTCAATATAGTTGGGTCTAAAATAACAGTATTGTGATTTGAAAAGAAGGTTCCAAAAGCATGTGCTTCTTTTACAGGTATCAAAATAATAAAACTATATTTTGCTTTAAGTAATGCCTCTTAATTGCACCATCTTTATGAGATGATTTAAAAAGGACATTTTAGATAAAAAGTAGTTGTGGAGGATAGAAAAAATCACTGATTTTAAAGATAAGGATATTCTTAATAATAAAATGATTAATTTGCATGTGGAAATCATCAAAATGCAAACCAATATTCAAAATTTGGCAGCAAATATTTTACTACTGTATTAATGTGTAATCATAGGATGATTCTCATATATTTAAATAATATTTTCAATATAGCAAACAAATTTTAAACAAGAGTTTTAAGATCAACTTAATAATTATGGAATTTACCAAAATTTATTAATACAAATCAGTGGACAACTTAATGTTTGATCTTGGAAGGTTATTATGATTCCAGATCTCAACATGATGAAATGTCACTTGAAAGTAGATCTTTACTAAAATTCTGAAGCTATTATTGTGATTTTTTTTTAAAAAAAAATCTAGGTATCAGAGATAGCGATTATAATTCAAATGAAAAGTACCTATTAACAGTTATATTAACATAAAATTGAGATTATTTCTCTTGAAAGAGATATTTATGTCTGAATTTTATATATGTACAAGAGTATAAAGTTATTTCTCTGTTTTGGTCAAGACCCCCAAAGCATTATTGGCACAAGACAGTGAGTTGAGCTCATATGCTTTCATTTCAGCAAGGGGACAAAAGGCTTAGGTTGAAACATACAGGTTTGAGACTGTGATGGAAATCCATGCTGTTCTTTGGTAGATGCTGCCCTTCTTACCTCTGCATATCAAGTTTTGCCCTTTCTGAATTCAGTTGTAATGTAAGAAACTTATTGTGATCTTTGAACTGTAAGATTGCATTTACTGCTTTGACTCAGGCAAGGGACTCAGTCATTGCCTTCAGTCTTTGATCTTGGCAGTCATCCTTATCTAAAACCTCTGCTCATCAGCTCATTTGTTTGTTAGTTCTACATACTACTCCACCAGAGAACTAAGAAATTTCTAGACCCCTACAGAGCACATGTGAGAGGAATACTCAATCAGGGTTATTTATCAAGATTGGCAGTCTTTATTAAAATATAATCCAAACCACAAATATTAACTATGTATGCTATTTTAAACTTTCTAGGACCCACATTAAACAAAGAGATAGATGAGGTGGAGCAAGATGGGTGAACAGAAGCCTCCAGTAATTGTTCCTCACACAGAAACACCAAATTGAACAACTGTCTACACAAGAAAGTACCTTCAAAAGAACCTAAAATGAGATGAGCAATCACACTTGATTTTTAACATCACGTCAACCAAAGGCATGGAAGAGGGTAGGAAAGACAGTCTTGAGTTGCTGACACCACCATTCCCCGATCCTCCAACAGTGGCACCTGTCATGTGGGGAGAGATAATCTGAGTACTTGGGAGAGGAAGAGTAGAGTGATTTTGGGGACTTTGCATTGGAACTCCATGCTGCCCTGTCACAGCAGAAAGCAACATAGAGCAGAGTTCAACCAGGGCCTATGGAGGGAGAATTTAGACCAGCCCTAGCCAGAGGAGTATTGTTCATCCCCGTGGCTGGAATCTGAGTTCTGGCTAGCCCCATCACTGCAGGCTAAAGTGCTCTGGGGTTCTAAATAAGATTGACAAGCAGTCTATGACACAAGGACTGCAATTTCTGAGCAAGTCCGGGCATTGTGCTGGGCTGAGACCCACTGGACTTGGGGTGGATGTGACCCAGTGAAATATCAGTTAAGGTGGCCCAGGGAGTGCCTGTGCCATCCCTCCTCCAACTCTAGGCAGTGCTGCTCACAGGTCTGGGAAGAGAGGGAAGAGTAAAGAGGACTTTATCTTGCAACCTGGATAACAGCTCAGTCACAGTAAAATAAAGCACTAAATAAACATTCAAAGTCCTCAGTTCCAGGTCTTAACTCCTGGAGGCCATTTTTCTGTCCATCCTGGACCAGAAGGGATCCCACTGCCCTGAAGGGATGGACCCAGGCTTGGCAGGACTCACTACCTGCTAAATAAGGAGCCCTTGGGCCTTGAATAAATGTTAGTAGTAGCTAGACTGTAGTTGCCATGGGCCTGGGGTGGTGGTGAACACAGAGCAGAGATTGGTTCTGCTTGAGAAAAGGAGAGGGAAAAGTAAAGAATTTGTCTTGCTACCTAGGTACCAGCTCAGCCCCAGCAAAATAAAGCACCGAACAGATTTCTAAAGCCCCTAATTCCAAGCCCTAACTCAGGGACAGCATTTCTAGGCTCATCTTCCCTGAAGGGAAAGAACCAGTACTGGCAGGATTTATCATCTGCTAATTAAGAGTCCTTGGGCAAAGAAGACCCAGTACTGCACTGGCTTCAGGTGTAACCCAGCACAATCCGAGTAGTGGTGGCCACCAGAGTGCTTGCATCACCCCTCCCCCAATTCTAGGCAGCTCAGCACAGAGACAGACAGACTCTTGTTTGTTTGGCGGGAAATAAAGGAAGAGAACAAGAGACTCTGCCTGGTGATTCAGGGAATTCTCCTGGATTTTACTCAAGACCACCAAAGCAGTACCTCTATGAATCTGCAAGAGTCACAGCATTAGGGGGCTTGGGGTGCCCCCTAATGCACGTATGTCTGCAGTGACCAAAGACTTCGATCACAACACTCGATTCCCTTCAAATACTTATAAAGGTTTCTCAAGGATGGATACAAACAAATCCAGGCTGCAAAGATTAGAATAAATACCTAACTCTTCACTGACAAACATCTACAAGTGTTAAGACCATCCAGGAAAACATGAGCTCACCAAACAAATTAAATAACGAACCAGTGATCAATGCTGGAGTAAGGCCTTTCAGACCGAGAATTTAAAATAATTGTTTTAAGAACGCCCAACCAAATCCAAGGTAATATATAGAAGCAATTCAGAATCTTTTCACATAAATTTAACAAAGAGATTGCAATCATTAAAAAGAATCAAGTAGAAATTCTGGAGCTAAAAAATTCAATTGAGAAACTGAAGAATGCATCAGAATCTTACAATAGCAGAACTGATCAAGCAGAAGAAAGAATTAGAGAACTTAAAGGCAGTGTATTTGAAAATACATAGTCAGCAGAGTCAAAAGAAAAATGAATAAAAAAGAATGAAGCACATCTACAAGTTCTTGAAAAAAAGCTTCCAAATGGCATATATAAAAGATATTGGCCTTAAAGAGGAGACAGAGAAAGAGATCACAATAGAACATTTTTCAAAGATAGAAGCACATCTACAAGTTCTTTTAAAAAGCCTCCAAATGGCATATATAAGATATATTGGCCTTAAAGAGGAGACAGAGAAAGATATCAAGATAGAAAATTTTTCAAAGAGATATTAACAAAATTTTTAAGCCTAGAGAAAGATACCAATATTCAAGTACAAATAGGTTATAGAGCACCAAGCAGATTAACCCAAATAAGACTACCTGAAGGTGTTTTATAATTAAACACCCAAAGGTCAAGGATAAAAAAGGATCCTAAAAGCAGCAAGAGAAATAAAAAAAAAAGAAACAAATAAAAAACATATAAAGGAGTTCCAATACATCTCACAGCAGATTTCTCAGTGGAAACATTGCAGGCCAGCAGAGAGTGGTGTGACATACTCAAAGGACTAAAGGGAAAAAAAGATTTTATTCTAGAATATTATATCCAGTGAAAATATTCTTCAAATACTTTCCAGAGAAAGAAAAGCTGAGGGATTTTGTCAACACCAGACCTATGTTACAAGAAATGCTAAAGAGAGTTCTTTAGTCTGAAAGGAAAGGATGTTAATGAGCCCTAAGAATTCATCTGAAGGTACGAAACTCACTGGTAACAGTAAGTGAACAGACGAATACAGAATATTATAACACTGTAATTGTGGTGTGTAAACTAGTCATAACTTGAGTAGGAAGACTAGGAGATAAACTGATCAAAAATAGTAAGTATAATATAACATCTTTTTAAGATATAGTATAATAGAATATAAATTGAAATGAGTTAAAAAGCAAGTGGGATGCAGTTAATATGTACAGTTTTAACTAATTTTCTCTTTACTTGTTTGTAAAATTGTTTTTGCAATCAGAGTTAAGTTGTCATAAGTTTAAAATAATCTGTTATAAGATGTTATTTGCAAGCCTTATGGTAACCTTAAATTTTGAAGAAACGTACAGAAGATCACAAAAGATGCAAAGAAATAAGTTAAAACACACCACCAGAGAAAATCATTTTCATAAAAGGAAAAACAAGAAGGAAGGAAGGGAAAACCGCAAAACCAGAAAATAAACTTGAAAATGGCAATAGCAAGTCCATTCCTTATCAATAATAACATGGAATGTAAATGGAGTGGCTAAATGGATAAAAAACAAAACCCAACAACCTGTTGCCTACAGAAACACACTTTGCATATAAAGACACACTTAGAAAGGGGATGGAAAAAGATATTTCATGAAAATAAAAACCAAAAAAGAACATAAGTAGCTATACTTATATCAAATATAATATATTTCAAGACAAAAACTATAAAAGAATGTCATTATACCTGTAATTCCAGCACTTTGGGAGGCCGAGGCGGGCGGATCATGAGGTCAGCAGATCGAGACCATCCTGGCTAACACGGTGAAACTCTGTCTCTACTAAAAATACAAAAATAAAAAATGAAAAATAGCCGGGTGTGGTGGTGGGCGCCTGTAGTCCCAGCTACTCGGGAGGCTGAGGCAGGAGAATGGCGTGAACCCAGGAGGTGGAGCTGGCAGTGAGCCAAGATCGCGCCACTGAACTCCAGCCTGGGTGACAGAGCAAGACTCTCTCTCAAAAAAAAAAAAAAAAAAAAAAAGAAAAAGAAAAAGAAAAAAAGTCATTATTTAATGATAAAGGGGTCAATTCTATAGGAGGATGTAGCGACTGCAAATATTTAAACACCCAACACTGTAAAACACAAATATATAATACAAATCTTACTGGGGCTAAAAAGAGAGATAGACCCAAATAGCTGGAGACTTCAACATCCCACCTTCAGCACTGAACAGATCACCCAGACAGAAGTCAACTAAGAAACATTGGATTTAATCAGTACTGTAGACCAAATGGACATGATAGATGTTTAGAAAATAATTTCATCTAATGGCTGCAAAATACACACTCTACTCCTCAGCACATGAATCATTCTCAAGGATAGATATTAATAAAACATAGTAAAATAATTAAGAAGGATGAGTTGTATTTATTATTTTTGTTTTACTATAGTTTGTTAGTTGTAAATTCATAGAATTTAATTTTAACTTAATTATTTATATTTTTATTTATTTTTTTGAGACAGAGTCTCACTCTGTCTCCTAGGCTGAAGTGCAGTGGCATGAGATCTCGACTCACTGCAACCTCCGACTCCTGGGTTGAAGCCATTCTCATGCCTCAGCCTTCGAGTAGCTAGGTCTACAGGTGCGCGCCACCATGCCTGGCTAATTTTTGAATTTTTAGTAGAGATGGGGTTTCTTGCCATGTTGACCAGGCTGGTCTCAAACTCCTGGCCTCAAGTGATCCACCTACCCTGACTTCCCAAAATACTGGGATTACAGGCGTCAGCCACCGCACCCAGCCAGAATTTAATTTTTAACATGCCTCCATTTAACAAGCAGTTTGCAAGATTTTCTGAAAATTTAATCACCAGCTTTCCCAAATCAGTGCAAGCCAGCTCTGAGAAAACACTTGCTCTGAATCACTAGAGAAAAAGGATATATAAAGAAATGTGAATGAGAAAAAACATTAATATATTTCAAAAAAAAGTAGTCCCTATTACACAAACACTGAACTTAATAAGAGAAGTTGTTAAAAAAAAAAAAAAAAAAAAAAACCAAACTCACTCCTTGGAGTTAAAATGTACTCTGCTCTAGTGTAGAAGAAGCTTAACAGAAATGAGAAAGAACCTCATGTCTTCTGGAAGCAACGGTATGCAAAAACACCATTGAGGTCCATTGGTTCATGATTTCGACTTAGGTCTTGTGATTTATTAGATGATTTAAAAGCTCTGAGTCTCAGGTTCCTATTTGTAAAATGAATATAAATAATTTGTTAACAGTGGCTGTAAAGATATAACAAACTTAATCATGAAAAATGAAGAGTGTTATTATTGTGAAGTTAATGAAAACCCTTATTTTTCACTTGGGCTTAACTGTTACAGGAAACACGGAAAGCAACACAGTGAAACGCATTATACAGAAGGTATAGTAAATGAAACAGGAATATCCCCAAATTACTAGGAAGCAGTCTCTTGGTAATTCCACTCCACGAAACCACATAAGGACTTTAGTCTCTTCAAGTACATTTTTCTAACTTCAGCAAAGCAGAGTACAATCTGTATAATTCTCACATTGCTCAAAGGTCCCTCTCCAAGGATGTTGTAACAATTAATCGACATCCAATTTGATTATCCCTTAAAGTGTTCTCAATAATATATATTAATATATCAGGCAATGAATTAACTGAATACTAAACAATATGATGTTTGGCCCATTTAATATAATTATGCACTTCAAAAAATTATTTAACCTAGTAAAACATTTATCAATTATGATTCAAATAAAAATTTTTATTAGCTTAATATTTCTGAATATGAAATATTAAAAATTACCTGAGGGCAGATTCTATAAATGGTAATTAAAATTTAAGATCAGTAGACTCTTAGTTGTCCTTCATGTCTATTCTTTCATTTTCCCCTCTTACTAGAAACTCTGGCTTGTACCTGAACATATGAACATCCAGTTTAAGAACACTGCTCAGTCTCCCTTTGGCTCCAGATGACTCCATATGACTAATTTCTACCCAATGAATTTGAAGTTTTATGTGGGAGATTTAGGAATTTTCCTTAAAAGGAAGTTACACCATGACAATTTTTTTCTTATCTTATTCTGCTGCAAGAAATTCAGAAACCATCTTGGGTTGTGAGAACAAACGCCACACCTTAGAAAGATGAACCCTGAGCTGGGAGGAGACTGGCTTTTTGAGGGAGTGGAGCTGACATATCAGCCCTATACTGCTTATCTTAGAATAATACTTATTCAAACATAAATAAGCTTCTGTTTTTGAGGCACGCCATGATTTAAGTTGTTACTTGCAGTCATTCTTTATCTTAAATAATACAGCGTGTTTCTGATATCAGCTTATATTTTTATCTTATCTTTTATGTATCTTATTTTTATCTTGAACATTTCATTTGATTAAAAATTTTGTGAACTTAGCTACCAAATAATTTCACTTATTATACTTCAAAAATTACTATATTAAAATGGAACCACATGTTTATGGATCATACTACTCATGTTTACTTATACCAATCCAATTAGACATCTAAATATTTTAAGGGAAACATGAATTTTTACATTCTAAAGATACCTACATTTATATCTGCATGTATAGCACATATAATGATTTTAATGATACCCTGTTCTACTAGGGAATAGTTACCAATGCTTAGTTTTATAATTTTTTTTTGTAAACATACATTTCCCAAGTATGGCATGATTGTAGTAAAGATATTTATTATACTATATTCCCATGAAGTGGAAAGATTAAACGTAAGTAATTAACTTAAGGCTAATATTTTCAAAATTGTACTTGTGTAATGCATACAAATATTTTTGTTAAATATTTAATATGAGTCATTAAACAGATAATCACATCAAGTCAAAAGAAAGTAAATCAGACTCCTTATTTAGAGTATTAGCTAATCAATGCTTGAGTGAAAACAAGCAAGAGAGCATCTGCAAACAAGATATTTTGGAACGATTTAGTCTCTGGGCTGTGCAGGTACCATTTGTAAGTGGGGATAATAAAAATCTGAGCAGTGAACAACAAAGTAATGCTAGTGGTTTGGTAAATGGGGCTTGAAGAAGTGAAAACTCTTGAGTTATTTTTTTTTTCCTTTGACATTTTGTAACTACTACTGAGTGGGTGTATGGAAAAGCATCTTTCCAGTCTATATTTTCTGGCTACCTCTTGTGAAATTAAGAAAATCTCTGTTAGGACAAAGTGGTAGCTCCATCTGTTAGCCTCCTTCATAAAATAAAACCTGCAGACACAGGATCATGATGTCTAAACAGTGCTAATATTATTTGAATATGATATCCAGAAAAAAAACTTGTATGGGACATTTCAAAATATTATTTTTGGATTTTCATCCACATTATCTATAAATATTTCTTACTACTCTGAAGAAGAACATTTCTCTAAGAAAATATTTCTCTTTCTCTTCTTGGTTAAGTTTGCCTATAATATATTGTTGCATGCTTTGGATCAGTTTGAACCTAGTGGAAGATGTAAATTATCATACTGACAGAAAAAATATCAATTACCTCAGTGTACCTATTTATCATCATGCAAATAACATTTTACTGTCTTGAAAAATTTGTTGTCTAATCTTGATTCATATACTATTTGCTATAGTAAATATTTGGATACATAGTTCACTGTAGCTGATTTGTAAAAGAAGTAATATATTAACTTACTGTTGGTATTGAGTGCTCTGATGAGCTAATTACCACTGAAAATAGTGATTCCAAACAAGATGCCTACCAAGAAAACAGGAATCTTTAATTACTATTTTCAAAGAAAGGAAGTGCTATCAACAGTTACTTCGGTGAAAATAGGCAGAGACCTAGAAGTAAGGCTAAGAAGAGTGAGAAATCCCTGAAAGGAATAAAAATCTGCTTTTCTTGTTCCTGTATCCCAGCATTTTAAAAAGTGAAAATTGGCAATGGCTAATGGCCATGAAAGAAAGGACCCAGAAAAAGGAAATCGTAGAAACTGTGGTTGGCATGAAGGCAGGGTTTTCAAAGATCATTCGATTTTAAGAGGAGGGTAAAAGTTTGTAACTGGAATGGCTTTATTATCACAGTACTTTTTGTGTGGTTAAAAACTTTGTAAAATTAGACTGTGGACTTGTAACTAGCCCCAGTCCCTTCCTACAGCTAGATGGGAGCAGTAAGTTCTATTGTTTTGTAGCACTCTAGGGTGAATCTGGCTAACGATAATTTAGTGTGTGTTTTCAAAAAGCTAAAAGCTAAAAGAGGATATTGAATATTCACAGCAGGAAGAAATGATAATTGTTTGAGGTGATAAAGATGATTAATTATGTTGATTTGATCATTAAATATTATAGACATATATTGAAATATCACTCTTTATCCCATAAATATGTACAATTATGATGTGTCAACTAAAAAGGAAAAAGGTTAACAAGACGTTAAATTTTAATTCCTTCACTCATGTATCCTACCCTTCCCTACTCAGCCTGATCTTCCTTATAGAGCCTATAGAGAAAGGCCTTTCTCATCTGGTGGACCTATTTTTACCTCTTGGCTAACTGAAGTTGATTGAATCGAATGGAAGATAAATGTATGGCTTCTATAAAGTTCTGGTGCATTTTTTTCTTTCCATTAAACATAAATATAAATTTTTTAATGAAGCTTCCCAGAGAAAAGAGTAAGGGGGTGAAAGATTTATTTGCGAGAAGTTGATGAGGTGAAGCAGGCGTAGGTGAGCTGGCAAGGAGAGGACAGTCTACTTCAACTGGCACTTACTGAATTCTTAGAATGGAAATGACATCGTCCACAGCACCAGTACTTCAAGGATGTCTGCCTTTAAAGAGCCAGCAACTCACCGAAAAGAGAGATGTATAAAGCAAATGTTAAATGCAGCAAGGTAAGCATTACATAAGCTGAAGAAATGAATAAACAAACAAAGCTGGCCTGCCCAGGATTCCCCTGAAAGTCTAGAAAGCCTCCCCTCAAAGAGAGTTACGCCTGGGCTGAAACTTAACAGAAGAGTAATAATCAATGAAAAGAAGACTTGGGAAAGAATTAGGAAATATATATTCCAGGCAGAGGTAAAAAAATAATCAGAGTATATGTATTGAGAGCAGGAATTCTAGAGTTGGCAAGTTGAGTGACGAAGTATTGCAGTAATCTAGGTAAGATAATATTGAGAACCAGAGCTAGGGTCTCGTTAATTTGGATAAAGAAGACCCACTAGATATGAGAAATTTTGTGTAAATAAAATTATAAGGTCTTATAAATTGATTGATTTAAACAATAAGAAACAGTCATCTAGGATGACTATTTTGTGTAACAGTGTAGACAGTAGTGCCAATATATGAGATAATATTCAAGTGTATAAATCTGGAGGGTAAGATGAAGTGAACTTGTGGAACTGGAAGTATCTGGAGAACTTCCAGAAAGGTATGTCCATTAAGCGCTTTCATTTGAAGATATGAAATCCAGATGCTAGATTAAAATTAGATGCATAGATATGAATGTTACTAGCATATAGTCTTTGTTAAAAATATGACAGTAAAATCATCACCCAGAAGAGAAAGGAAGATTTAAAAAGAACAAAGACTCAGTAAGCAGAAATGAGAATCATGGAAATCAGTACTATGTAATGGGGAGAGGAAGAAAAAGGTTGACAAAGCAAACCAAGAATAAAGATCAAATAGAGTGGAAGAAAAATCAGAAAAATATTGTATCACAGAAGAGAAGGGTGTAGTTTTCCAGAGTAAGAAAAGATCAATACTGTGAAATGCAATGAGATCATTGTAGAATGAGGACTGAAAAGTGTCCAATGAATACAGAGATATGAAGATTAATGGTGCAGGTTACCAGAGGAGTTTCAGTGAAACGATAGGAGAGAGTTGGTAATGAATTGCAAAAAAAAAAGACACTGAATATTGTCACCATTTTCAAGATGATTGGCTGAGACAGAGAGGAAAACAAGGACAAATATTCTGTTAAACATAGGATACATTCTGCTAGAAGGCTTTACTACAGCCCCTGAACTCACTGGTAAAAGTCATTCTCATTTTCATTTTATGAGCAAAATATTCTCATGTTAGTGAACTACGTATTTTCATGTTAGTGAACTTAATGTTAATGAACATTAAGTTTTTGGATGAATTTTATTATTTGTTGATACTACTATCTTCCCAGTATTAATGTATCAGTTTTTATGCCTTTATAATAGAATCAGCTCAGTTGTACTAATTTAATTGATACACTACTTAACTTGGAAATAGTAACTTAAAACATGCTTTTATTTAAGCACATTAACTGACCAAGAATAGCATAATTTCAGTAAAAATGTTTATTGTATTGTATATGCACAAAGTGCAAGGATGAAGAATATAGCAATTAAGTCACGGTATTTTCTGATTTGTCCTTATAAAATATGCAAATCATATTGTAAAAGCACATCATAGATGACATAGAAAGAAAGAAAAACATCATTAATTACATGAATCTCAAAGCAACCAATAATATAATTTTATTTGTAATAATATGTAATCAATTTTGGAATGGAAGCAAACAAGAGATAAACTGTCCAGAAAAGACATTTTGCAAATTATATAGAATGTCCAATCTTGTCCAGGTAACATTTATAAAAGCAGATAAAAATTTTGCAAAAGGAAAGTATTTTACTAACCATTTTGAGGGTTTTTCTGCATCTACTTATCTTCCCCATCTATGCACAGAAAGAACAGCACATTAAAACTCCCTAGCAGATGAACAAGGCCCTATGACTAATTCTGTCTGGTCTATGAGGTGGTTACAGATTTGATGTCTGTCAATTTTTAGCTGAGACTGTGAAGAATTCATGATGAATTTTCCAGTCTCTGTCTGCATGCCTGCTATGGTAATGGTGGAGGAAACAATATATTGAGACGGTGAGTTCAAAAAGTGAAAGCAACATGAACTGAGTTGCTTCATAGGGCCTGTTGTTCTGAAGTCATGCCAAACTATAGCAGACTTTGTGTGAGCAAAAAACAAACACCTGAGGTGCCAAGCCACTGAGTTTTGGAGATTGTTATTGCAGTGCAACCTACCCTCTCCTGACCATAAAACATTCAGAACATCTTTTTGTATATAAAGCAAATCCTGTCACCTAACTACTTTTTTCTTTTGGTTAGTATCTATAAAGTACAGTTGGGGAAAAAAGGCATAAGGGGAGGAGAGGGAAAGTAGGTGGGATGGAACCTACAGGAGATGTTAGTAAAATCGTCAAGACAATAATTTAATGGACTATAATTATTCATTAGGTTTTTTAATAATCATACTAAACTTACAGTTATTTTCCCTCCTTGCCCTCTCCAGCTCAGTGAGGAAATAACTTGCCATAGTTGTTAGAGAAAATTTCTTACCCAGGTCTAATGAGGTTGCTGCTTTGACAGTTCAGCTCTTTCATTGTTCACATTCCTTTGTTCATTTGTGTGTTGGTAAAAAAAAAAAAATCAGTACAAATCACTGCATTCCTTTCTACTTGCAAATCTCTGCTATGTGATTTTTGTTGCAAATGAAGATATTTATCATGACTACATTCTCCCTCTTCCTACATCTTGTTCTGAATGCTGTATCTGAGTATTTCACCAAGTATTCCCATTGTATCACTTCAGTTGCTTTTAATTGCAGAATGAGTCAAGGAAAATTACTGTTTATGGACATCAAATGATTCTGCAATTCTGACTTAGAAACTAGCCACCTTTCCCCAGAGGTTCACGATAATCTCAGACTGTAAGATTTGTTTGCACAGGTGGTTCTGAGATTCACTGTGCATGTGGGTATGTATGCACACACACGTGCATGTTTATGTATGTGTGTACACACATGTATATATATATGCATACACACGTGCGTATGTATGCACAGGCGTGTGTATGCATGTATGTACACACGTGTTTTTTGGACAGATGGCGTGTATCTTACCCATAAGTATGACAGTAAGTGGAAAAATGAGATTTTTTCCCAAGGATTTACAAGATCCAATAACCAGGATTCTATGACATTAAAGAGTGAACTTTTATGTTGTAAAGGAACTAACAAAGAGTAAAAAAATGAAATGAGAAGCATTAAAAAAAAAAAGCAGTCTGACACTCCTGTCATAATATGGCTGTTTTCCATTTAGAGAGTTTTGAATGGTGAGGTAAATACCAATACTAACTGTTTAGGTAAATAGTATATTCTCCTATACAATGTATCCCCTTAAAGAAAGCATTAAGCTAACATGATTCCTTAAGGTAACTACTTCTGCCTATTTATTATTATTATTTCTAACTAAAGGGCCATTCTAATTCTAAAAAATATGCTTGGGCACATTGGCATCATCTCTGTGTTAACTCAGGTATCATAACAGTCCTGACTGTTTTTGGCACCACGCTGCTGGCTCTCACCATGGTAGTTCAGCCCAGCAATCTGTTCACTCTTTCAGTAATGCTGCTTTTCAAGTCTATTACTCCAGACCCTATTAGTGGATACTCAGGATGTTTTCTACATCCTGAAGCCCATAAGCATGCTTAGTCTTTGAGATACTGTTGATCATGACCCCATTTACATGTAGGTGACATTGCCTAACGAACTGGGTCCCACTTGCTGCTCCTTGTTTTGTATTTTGCTCTTCATCCATTAGCCAGTATTATGGCGAGCATTCCTTCACTAACAGGGAGAGCTGTAGATGTGCCAAGCCCCATCATCCTCTCTTTTCTTTGCTTTATGAAGCATGCTGGGACCAGATGGTATTCTAAACAGAGCTTTTAAAAAGAGCTTTCAACACGTTGTGTGTCAAGAGGTAGTTTCCCCTCTTTTGGTGAATAGGTGATTTCTCGTGGGGTTTGAGCCCCTTGCTCTTGATCATTTCTTCTTCTTTTTAAAACAGACTCCTCACTCATTTTCATGAAGGAAAGAAAATGGAAAGTGTATCTGCTCCAAACCTTGAAGTATAATTATTAAAAAATAGTTATGTTCAACAGGATTTTATATAACATTATCTCTTTTTAGTTTTGTAACAACTCTTGAGATATGGTAGAAAAATTATCTTCATTAAAAACCTGAGAACCGGAGATTAAATTTCTTGACTGGTCTCACAAAGAAAGTTAATGACAGAACTAATATAACAGTCCCAATGTTCGTTATTGTATTTCTTACTGTTTCCAAAATACTTACTAATGACTGTGATGTAAAGTCTCAAATAATCACTACTTGTTGAGAACAGAGCAAAGAAGAAGAATATGTAAATCCATTTTTTTCTGTTTATTTGAATTTCATTTTTCCAAACCAAGACCAAGATGCATGTAACAATATATATTTATGATTTATTGATAATGAGGGAATAATGAATATTCTGGGCATAAGTTCCCAACACTTGACCATGATTAGGAGAAAACAAATACATAGAAAAATAGTTCTGCCACAACTATACATAGCTTGCACTATGTATTCAAATGAAAAGTAAAAGTTTAATTTACCCAGCCAGCCATTTTTTTATTTGATGGGTCGTCTTTTCAAAGCAAGTGTAAAATTAACTAAATTATTCATTAAATCATTTGATCAATGTCTAGTTAGTGTACTTGGTAGATAATGATTTTTCATGTACTTGGTAGCTATTGATATTTCCTTCCCGACTTCTTCATGCTGTCAGATTAATTTTTGATTTCTATAAAAAGCATCTACATTTTTACTCATGGCTACAGATATTAAATGGGTTTATTCCAATGCCTATAACACCAATAAATTTTGTCTCTGTTTTTACTGGGTTTGATTTAAAGATAAAAAAGAAAATCTGTAATTAAAACCTTAAGTATGGTACAAAAATAAACTGCATTTTTGCCATTTCAAACTTTGCTAACTGAAATACAATAAAAAAACATAAAAACCTAATCATTATACAACAGATATTTTAAAATGCATTGAAATGTTCACATAAAGAAGATTAAGAATGAGTGAAAATTTCTAGAAAAAATTTAGGAATATTTTAGATTCCTTTGAGTGAGTTTATTTTGTCATCATATATTATTGAATATAACATGCTGCTTTCCAATTGCATCTGTCTTAAAATGTCCCAATTTATGAAAAGTTTCTTTAAGTTTAATGGGAAAAAATCTTAAATTAGGTTTCTATTTTTTTTTATTTTAAATAGAGGGTTTATTTTGAGGGATATAAATTAGGCCAGATCTAGAAATAATTAGGTGGAATGCTAGTTTGCCATCATGATTTTTCCACCACTAAAGTTTATTTTTTTCTTCTTCCTTTTATTAGCCCTTTTAACTCTGCAAATATCAAAACACCATATTATTCAGATACTCCTTAGGTGGCACACTACGAAGGACAAGAGAGCCTAACCAAGCAGTGACTATTCGCCAGTCCTATAATATTTCCCCCCAAATAAAATTAATTTTACTTTTTTTGTTACTTATTTTTGCTTGTTTGTTTGTTTTCTTGAGACAGGGTCTCACTTTGTTGCCCAGGCTGGAGTGCAGTGGTGCAATTACAGCTCACCGCAGCCTGCGACTCCCAGGATCAAGCAATCCTCCTACCTCAGCCTCCCTAGCAGCTGGGACCACAGATTATTATTTCTTTTTTTTAAGGAAAAAGCTACATTCTAAAGCCATGGATAAATCACATTTTCATGTGTTAAAACCCAAAGTATGCATTTTCATGGGGCAAAGACTTAACTACAATTCATTAACTTCCCTAATAGCACAGTTGCAGCAAGACCATAAAGTATTTGGCACTTTCTCTTCCCCCTCAAATTACAGTTTTCTAAATCTGCTTTCTTACCACATAACTCCCTGTAACACCCTTAAATAAGGGGAATCCTATTATGTCTTGGGAGAAGGAAAAGATAACTGTAATTACTTCTACTATGTATTGATATATAAAATATTTACTCCTCTTATATGTAAAGTTTCAGTGCCACAAAAGAAATAGCACTCAAATATAAAATTTTCTTTTAATTCTCAGCAAGGCAAGGTACTTCTACAGAAGGGTGGGCCCTTACAGATGGAGCAATAGTGAGCACACGCTTGGACAAGGGAGGGGAAGGGGTTCTTATCCCTGAAGCAGGTGGCCCCTGCTGCTGTGTCATTCCCCTATTGGCTAGGGTTAGACTGCACAGGCTAAACTAATTCCAATTGGCTAATTTAAAGTGAGTGACGGGGTGAGAGGTTTGGTGGGAAAAATGGTTATGACAGAGCAGGAAATCAGAATGAGTCAGGATGGAGTAGGTAATCGGAATGAGTCAGGGTGGAGCAGGTAATTGGAATGAGTCAGGGTGGAGCAGGTAATTGCAAAAGGTTGCTTTAAGAGGAAGTTAAGTTTAAAAGTAGAAGGCAAAGAATTGAACACACTGACATATTGATTCTTTGAAAAGAAATTTAGAATTCATGTCTAACACTCCTCTAAGGCAAGTGCATAAACATATGACTTTAGTTCAATAGATTTATACCCTTAATCAACAAATGTATGTTTTGGACTTTCAGCATTGTAGCATCCTATATGCTGTGGAGCCTATAGTCAAGTACATTTAGTGAGAAAAAACAAATCCCCACATTTTATTTAACTTATATTTCCTATAATAGAAGAACAGTTTTCAGGTATTGGCTAAATGTACCCCTGGTTAACAGGTGATCTTTGATGTGGTGAAACAGGAACCCAGGCAATTGGAATATCTGGTTCCTCAATTTCCAGGGCATCGTCTGTGTATAGCCAGTCAGATGGGAATTTGGAACATGGAAAAATCCCACTACCGGAGTATAGGTCCTACCCTGGAAATGATGGACATCATTTCTGCTCATATTCATTTGGCAAAAATAGCTGCATGCAAGGGGAGCTGGGAATGAGAAAACAACTTCCAATGATGGCTCACCGTAGAAAATAGCAAATAACACATATCAATACAGTGGTAAGGACTGGACAAGATGATCTGAAAATGAAGAAAGTCATGATACGTCTTGGAAATAATCATTGCATAATTTAATCAAAAGATATTAGTGAAGTGATCTTGAAACACATGTGAAGTGTATGCATCTTCTAAAATTGTCAATATCTTCTTCACCTTTAACGCTTTTTTTTTTTTTTTTTTTTGAGATGAAGTCTCACTCTGTCACCCAGGCTGGAGTGCAGTGGTGCGATCTCGGCTCACTGCAACCTCTGCCTCCTGGGTTCAAGCAATTCTCCTGCCTCGGCCTCCCAAGTAGCTGGGACTACAGGCGTGTCCCAACATGCCCTGCTAATTTTTGTATTTTTATTAGAGACAGGGTTTCACTATGTTGGCCAGGATGGTCTTGATCTCTTGACCTCATGATCCGGCCGCCTCAGCCTCCCAAAGTGCTGGGATCACAGGCGTGAGCCACTGTGCCCCGCCTGACTCTTGATCAGGGCATGTACTTGTGAATATTTTAGGGTTGCAAGCCACAGAAAGTATCTAAATTAGCTTCAAAACAAGGATTTATTTTGAGAATTTAGGAGTGTGTCCACAAAAGTTAAGAGCAGAAGCACAGGAGCACTGGGATCAAGGACTGATAAACTCTGAGGCTTTAATGGTCCCTTGTCTCTAACGCTTTTGGTATACTTTCTCTTTCTGAAGACCAACCCTTTCAAACTCTCAGAACACAGGCAAGATGCATATTCTGTAGTTTTCAGATGTGTACTTCCTACATTCTGGAAAACTAGATGAGTTAGGCTCTCTTCATCTCAATTGAAAATTCTAGAAGAAAACACCTAATTGGCTCATCTTGGATCAGTTTTCTCCCTCTAGACTAATTCACTGTAGGAAGACACACTGCACAAATCTAAGCTTAGTTGTTTCTGTCTGAAATTTATCTTAGTGATCTTTGCAACATTTGGTACAGCTCAAGTAAGCTACTAAAAAGCTCACACCTATCAGCTGTAAGAACTAGTTCAATGAGTCTGGATAAGAGGATGCATAGATGAGAGTGAGAATAGATGAAAATGAGATAGATGGGATTGGAGTGATTATAAAGAGACAGAATATCACACTAATTGCAAAGGCATGATAGCATAATCAGAATGATGATTTGGAAATATAATTTTTAGAGTATTGCAGAACTTGAATTGAAATGAGAAAGTATTATGAAATTTCAGTGGGCATTGTTGAGGTAGTGTTGAAGAGAACTATGGCTATTTCAAATGCAAGAATCGGAATACGACTAATCAATGCATTACAACTAGTTTACTCTTGGTTTTTCTTTCATGCATATTTTTAATTAATTGAAGAAAATATTTTAGGTGTATTTAGAGATTTATTTAGCCACATTTTATTAATTACAATACTGAAAATAAAGTCATGGTGAATATTATTTACAATATTTCCTGGTTATGTTAGTGGATAAAATATTTTCTGCAACACATTTCCACAACACTCAAAGTTACCTTGGTAAATGCATACTATTAATCTATGTTTTCATTATTTAACTATTTTACATTTCTTGGACATTCAACACACATTTTATACTTCTAAATTTAAAAGTTTAGGAACTATGGGCATATAAAAATAAATACCTCAAAATATACAAAATTCATATACATTTCTGATATTTTGAAGTAGAATGTTTTATCTGCCTTTTTCCTCAATAGAAAGAATACAATCACATCAGTGATAACATTTTCAAATATTAAACTTATATGATTTTTAATTCCTCTCTACCCTATATTTTATTTCAGCCCTACTATTAAGGCTAAACCATGACATTTTTTACCTCAGGAAGGAAGAGGGAAAATGATGCCTTAAGAAAGTTATTGATCAGCTCTAAGAAAGCTCACTTTCTTAAAACCATGGTATATATTTTTCCAAATTTTGAAAAGTCCTACTGTATGCTACACATTCTGTTAGGCATATACTATTTTAGCTCTTAGTTTGCGTGATCTCTTAGTCTCAAAGCTCACTTTCTTAAAACCATGATATGTATTTCTCCAAATTTTAAAAAGTCCTACTATATGCTATATATTCTATGTTACGCATATACCAATTCTAATAACAGGAAGCTGAAGAGCACTCTTGCCTTTGGTTTAGAAGAGAGAGCCTATGGAAAGAAATATAGACCAAAGGAAAAGGCAAGTGGCCAGACAGGTTAAGGGTATGTGCGGGGCAGGGGAGAGTAACATTAGTCTCCTCACCACCCAGATTAAATGCAGGAATGAGAGAGAAAAAGAAATAGAAACTCAAGAAAAATAAAATAAGCAAGAATGCTTTCGTTCTGTTTTCTCTTTTGAACTCTGAGAGGATACAGATTTATGGAAGTGGTTGAGGACATACAGCTTTGGGGAAAACTTCAGCTAGATAGAAATGAATGTGATGTGTGTTAGGTACAGAGCGGACCAGGCCAAGTTCTATGGAGATCACTTAAGACTGTGCGGAGGTCAGTCAGAACTTCCACCATGTTCCCTACAGGAGGAATGAGAAGAAGCCAAGAGAAAAACATCTGTGGGCCTGCTTTATGTTAGCATGGTGATGACTGTAGTACTGTAGTGAGCAAAGGCATGAGAGAGAACACCACAAACTTGGGGACAGATGAAGAACACAGCTGAGATTTAGAAGTCCTGAGGCAGTGATGTGCTTGTGAATGGTTACCAACTGGCTAGCCAGAAAAAAAAAAAAAAAAAAAAAAAAAAAGCCTTGATTTGCAATACTTGCCAAGTTCTGTGGTGGAATACTCCCATTGTGAAGGACTTCAGGTCATAGGAGGCCTAGCATGGATTTAGGAAGAGATATAAACAGTTGGCTCTCACCAGCCAGCACAAGCTTCCTTCAGCACACCACGTTTGAAACGTGTTGTGGGGTCCCACCCATCCTGCACCTTCCACCCAACATGTACATTTAGGAGACCAAAAACAAACCAGGAGAGGCACTGAGCTGCATGTTTTCTGGAGCTTTGTTAGTAGGATGAGACCCTGGGCCAAAGAATGAAAAATATATTCAAGAGAAGATGGAGCACTGAACAGGGTTAGGGGCCTTCAATTACTTGACCATGGAGCTTCCCAACCCCAGTGATGCCTAAATTGATTACAAATGCAACAACACATTGAAGCCCTGAGTCCATGGGGCAGCAAGCAGGACTGTGTTGGCCAGAGACCCAGGCCATGATCTTCAGCTTGTAAGCACTCTGGGGACATGCTGTATCAACCCCGTCTGTTTGTTACCATGTGAGTAAGTTTGGGAGCGTCTCTTCTACGATACTAGTTCCCTCTCTACCCCAACTCTGTAAGGTCTTCTCTGATTGTTAGGCACTGGTGTGGGTCAGGGGGTAATGCCTACTGAGTTCTCTGTGGTCAGAGGGTCATGGATACCTGATGAAGCCCACCCAAGTCTTCTGGGGCCAATGGCTGTGATGTTCTGTGTTACTCTGCTCCTGGAGACACTGAGCCAGGCAGAATAGGGAACCTTAGACCAGGCCCAGATCCCTATGGATTGTTGTGGAAAATGGTGGTGGTTTTTACATATAGAAGGATATAGAATGTTTAATTTTTAGAATTCTACTTTTTAAACTCAACTGTTAGGAACAGAAAACTGATTACTGGAATTTTTGCCCTTCTGACAAAAATAAATGCTTAGATGCATAAAAAATTATTTGGAGGCCTTGAATCAATGTCCCAATATTACTGGAAGCCAAACTTGAGAACACATTATCAGACATAAAAAATAAACAAAACAACAACAACAACAACAAAACTGGAAGCAATAGATAAAGTCCTGGAAAGTTCTTTACCTCAACTTAAAATATAGACTTTTAGAAAAAGAACTGAGGTAAGAAAAATCTAAAGTATTAGAACAAGTTGTGTTGATGGTAGATGTAACAAAGAGCGTACATTCATCAAAAGATGCATCTAAACACTTCCAATTTCAAAAAAAGCTGCAACTAAAGCAAACTACATCGAACTACATCATAAGAATAAAGAACAACTTCATACAGCACTAAAATACACTTATGATGAAAATTCTCATCCTCAGAGAAAGATAACACTGCTTTCACAAGAAGCAGAAGGATGGAAAATAACAATGAGTGAACTTAAAGTTGTACAGAACAAGTTCTAAAAGACAAAGCCAGATTAAGTCTCTGAGTGAACACATGCTGTTTTCGAAGAAGACATAATGATTTGGAACATGGAATCCAATACAACAAATGCATCAGAATGTAGACACCTGTTAGAAGATGTTTTGAAGAAACTGATTAGACTGAGTAAAATAGTTACCGAATATTAACATTTCCTCAAAGATCCTGATCCCAGAACCTGTGACTACCTTACCTTACACAGAAAAGGGGACTTTACAGATGTGATTAAGTTAAGGATCTTCAGATAGAGAGATTATCTTGGATCATTTTGGATGAGCCTAAAGTAATCACAAGGGCTTTTATAAGAGCAAGGCAGGAAGGTCAGAATCAGAAGAAAATGTGATCACAGAAGCAGAAGTTAGTGATGTGGTCACAAGCTAAGAAATGTAGGCAGCCTCTAAAAGCTGAGAAAAAAACACACACAAAAAAACAAGAAATGAATTCTCCCCTAGGGCCTCCAGCGGGAATGTAGCCCTGCTATGTTTATTTTAGCCTAATGAAACTGATTTCAGACTTCTTATATTTAAAATGTCAAGATAATAAATTTGAGTTGTTTTAACCTACTAAACTAAGAAACCGTGGTAATTCCTTATACCAGCAACAGGAAACAAATATACTTGCTTAAAAACTCTTAAAGTTAAACCAAATATACACCAAATCAGCTGAAAGATAACATAAGTGGTGCACTCTGAGGTCATAGTAAAGTTTCCAAAGTAAGAAAACTTTTCTACACTCAGAAAAAAAAAATTAGAAAATGAGAAGAAAAGTACCAGGAAAAATGCCCAGTCTGAACCACATTAAGAAAAGAAAATAAATTTTCACCAAATATTTAATTTAGAGGAAATTTTCCAGAAAAACAGAAAATCTCCAAAGCAGTTTATTAGCCACACATCTGAAGAGTTGAATACTTATAAAATATAAGTCAATACTTTTCTAAAAAATTGAAAATAATCACTGGCAATTATCAATGTCGGCTTGTTTCCTATGAAAGAAAAGCTCACAGTAAAAGGTTGAGAGTGCTGCAAGAATCTTTGATAATTTTTTTAAAAAAAGCAAACTGAAGACAAGTATTAATTGAGGAAAAATTTAAATATGAATGGTTCAAAGTGTATTCTTATGACTCAGTTATGTCCTAGATGTTCAAAGTGTGACATTCGGCAGAAGCTTGAGAAGATCACGAGGTAACCTCCAGATGCACAGATTCTTGAGGAAGAAGTGAAATCAGGCTGTGTGGGGATCCAGGGTTTGGTGTCCAACACACGGATGCTACCCAATGGCGTTATGACCCTGGGAGATGACCCTGCCATTAGGACAACTCCATCCTGATGTAGTGAGTCCTGCATGAAACAGAGCTTGTCCTGATGCTCCTGGCACTGGAAAACCCTTGGGGTCTCCTTTTAACTCAGTTATCCCATAATAATGGGGAGTCACTGCCCAGGCTTTGGTTCTTTACATATTCTGGTGTCAGACGTTGTATGTTACAGAGGGGTCCCTGACAAGAGGACTCCTGTCTTCCCTCTTCTAGATGGCAAGGACAAACCTTCCCTGGAATCCTCTACAAGGGACTTCCCTAGCCTATCACTTCCTCACTGACAACAAGAAATATTGCTACAGAGCAAATACAAAGGGCTGCATTTGGTTTTGTAGTCACACAATCTGCAACAGACATGAGTCACTTTCCCTGTTTATCCCTCCTTCTAATGAGCTTACTCCCAAAACCATACCGACATGCTTTTTTTTTGCTTCTGTACTAAAGTTAGTTTGATTTTTTCTCTTTTCATTTCACTCTATTGCTTTTTTTAAAGTACCATTTACTCAAATGGAAGACTGACAAAATTATAATTCGTAAGATGATTTTTGTAACTGTGGATTGTTTCATTGTGAAGCTATGGTTTAATTACTTTCATTTAATTCCATGTACATTTTGTGTATTTACAATATTTATGTTGTTAACAAAATATACAACATGTTGTATAATGTAAAATATACAATATGTTGTATAAAAAATATACAAACACAGCAAGAATTCGTATATGTTTTGGTTCTGTGTCCCCACCCAAATTTCATGTCGAAATGTAATCCTCAATGTTGGAGGAAGGGCCTGGTGGGCCATGATTGGGTCGTGGCGATAGATTCTCCCTTGCTGATCTCGTTATAGTGAGTGAACTCAATGAGTTCTGGTTGTTTAAAAGTGTGTAGCACTTCCCCCTACACACACTCTCTCTTCCTCTCCTGCTCCACCATGTGAATATGTGTCTGCTTCCTCTTTCCCTTATGCCATGATTGTAAGTTTCATGAGGCCTCCCCAGCCAAGTTTCCTGTACAGCCTGAAGAATCGTGAGCCAATTAAACCTCTTTTCTTCATAAATTACCCAGTCTCAGGTAGTTTCTTATAGCAATGTGAGAATGGACTAATACAAATTCTTTTTGTCTTCTAAAATAATTTTGAACTTTTTCTGTTATGGTGTTATTGCTGTTATTTAAGTAATTATATAACAGCTGAAATGGAAGCAACATAGTATTATACATCAGAATAGTTTTAAAAATAAATCTACAGCACACAAATTTAAATCTTATTTGTAAATTATTTGCATTTTATTTGATTTCTATCTGGTTTATATATAGCATTTTTGTTCTTGCTATAAAAGGCCTCTTCCCTATATCCACAGATTTTTGTCTCTATTCTAAAGCATGAATTTTCTCATTTGGTTTTGCTGCTAGAGTTAAGCGACTATACAATTGTTCAAATGGAAGTGCAACCAGAATTGTAATTCATAAGATAGTTTTCTATAAGTATAGTTTATTTAGAAGTGAATTTTATGAGTAAATTGTTTCCTTGTCTTCTGTTTCTAGAGAGTGTAAGTATGCCATTTGTTAACATTTAACAAATTCCTGATACAGCAATATGAACAGTGATGAGTTTTACATGGCTGTCTCACATTTGGAGACATTTGAAGCTTACAATTCATAACAGTGTACTAAAAACTGAACTTACCTAGTTATAAAACTAATATGTTTACTTAAATAAATTTTAGTTTAAAAGAAAAACTAGGTGGGGTGCAGTGGCTCACGCCTGCAATCCCAGCACTTTGGGAGGCCAAGGCAGGTGAATCACAAGGTCAGGAGTTCGAGACCAGCCTGGACAACATAGTGAAACCCCATCTCTACAAAAAATACACAAAAAATTTAGCTGGGTATGGTGGCAGGCACCTATAATCCCAGCTACTCAGGAGGCTGAGGCAGGAGAATCACTTGAACCCGGGAGACAGAGACTGCAGTGAGCTGAGATCGCACCACTGCACTCCAGCCTGGGCAACAGTGCAAGACACTGTCTCAAAAAAAAAAAGAAAAGAAAAGAAAAGAAAAACTCTCTGATGGCTCTCAGTGCACTGAGCATAAAATTTAAACCCCAACTTCTTACCGTGGACCATATGCTGCAATAAGAGACAGTCTCAAATGCATAAATTTATGGTAGATTTGAGGCCAAGACTGCTATGGAGATTCGTAAACAACTGCCTCATCACAAAGGATCAAGCTAAGGGAAGCACAGAGAAATGGAATGGGGCCATTAAGCTAAATTAGTTCTGAACCCCACTCTACATTTCCAGTTATGTGAAGTCAACATATTTCCTTAATGTTTGAGTCAGTTCGAGTTGGGTGCTTTGTTACTTGCAGTCAAATTCATACTGTTATTGCCTCCTAACATCATTTCAAGCTAAAGCAATATTAAATAAGGTATTTTACATATTTAAATAAGATTGAAATTATTGTAAGAGAACTTGTGTGATAAATTCACTCTTTCATGAACTTATTTCTTAATAACTTTTTATTTTCTGGATTTGGCAGATGATTTGATGTGCCATGCAGAATCCTCTTTAGGAATAAATGATTTAACTCCCCATCACATCCTGCCTGCTGAGAGTGCTACCAACAACAGCCTTCAGGGGACAGTCGCTATGGGATTTCCTCAGCTGAGAAGATTCACCTTGTTCGCGTTTTGCCCTCCTTCCCAGGACAGCCTGCATCCAATAAGTGATTGAGGGGAAGGCATAAAGTCTGGGCCCTCTGACGTCAATTCAAGTAAACTCTGAAGGCTTACCTTAGCTTCAGAACACCCTATGGTTTGGCTGAGGCTCCTGTTAAAACTTCAGATTTCACTTCTTCCTTTGCCTAATCCTGCAACCTTCCAGGTTTTCATCCCAAGAGCCTCCAGAATAACCTTTCCACAGCTAACCTCCATCAAAGAATGTTTACCAGGGAACTCAACCTGTAGTACCTGGTGATGTTCTGATTCACAAAATCAAAAAAGGTAACAAGAATTAACAGTTTCCTCCTAAATCATACTGATAAGGCAGAATACTACATGAAAAATCTGAATTCTTGCATTATTGATTGACTTGTCAATTCACTAGAATGAATGCCTGCTTTCCCTGCCCCAAGGACCTCTCACCACACTCCCGAATTGTGTTAATTACCAATATGTCACGGCAATGAAGGGTTACAAGAGTTGTACAATTTTACTTCCATATTGAAATGAAAAAAGAAAAATGGTAGGGTTTTATTTTAATGATCTCAAACTACCAGATGCCCTAAATTGATGTTATTTTGCTTGTTTGGTAAGGTGATGCTCTTGGAGGTTCCCATGGTAAAGATAGTATTTTGCTTTCCAGATTATAGAACTGTATTTCCAGTCTGTTTCCTGATGACTCTCTCTGCATTCTTATTACAGGATCACCTCTTTACTATGCCCTTCCCCACCTTATGTTTTAGAATCACAATTTCTATAGCCCATGCATCTCTTATGTGCTGTTCTTCCCTTCAATTTATCCTTTCTTCTTGGTTTAGTCTCCTAGAGATAATAATTTATTATTATTACCTTAGCCTAAGTTACCGCAATAATACCCTCGGATACTAACTACTGCGTAGAACACATCAGTATCTTTGAAAACGGCTAAAAATAGAGTTTCTTTTCAAACATAGACAAGCATGCAATTCTGTAGATCACATCAAGGTGAATGTGAGTCTGCCAAGAGTGTGCACTGTGTTCTGGGATTAAAACAACATGGCAATGTACAAAACAAAATGTGCCTTAAACAGAAAAATTTGTATGCATTGTAACAACTTAGAGAAAGTTGGCCCAGAACTAATGTGTTTGGCTTAAATCTTATCTTTTTAATGCTCACATTTATTCTGCATCCACCAGAAAATTGGCAGCGTTATCCTGCTGTCACCATTTGCATTTCCAAGATTGCCAAGCCATCTTTCCCCAACAGACTATGTTTACGCTGAACCTGGAAAACTATGAAGTCAGCTGCATTGTTTATAAGAAGGTATTTTTACAAGCCATTAAGGATAAAATACCACCAAGGAAAAGGCCAAGTTTTGGCAATATTTTCATGACAAAAAACTTTGAATGCAAAATGGTCGGTCTTCTCCTTTCAATCCTGTTTTTCTTTTTGAGCGTTAAAGATTACCGTCAACCTAGCATGTCTCGAGTTATCAGGGTACAGTATCTTATGAAACATATGATCTCTAAGAAGATTATTAATTTGCTCTTCACCTATCATAAATCGTCTTTGAAAATGCATGGCATAGAAAGGAAATAATCAAAGGACTTAATCACAAATGATAGCATTGTCAGTACCATGGAAACACGGAAAATGTATATTTGTTTGAAGAGTTGAAATGCTCAGATACCCTAAATTGGTATTATTTTTGCTTGGTAAGGTAATGATCTTAGAGATTCCCTGGGTAAAAAGTTTTGTCTTCCAAATTTGCCTATAAATTAAATTCAGAAGCTTTTTAATGTATTGAACCATACACAAGGAATGTATCAGTTAATCTTAACTTCCTAAAGTGGAGGAGTATAAAAAGCTATCAATATGGGCTTTTAGAGTACATACATATTTTATTGAAAAAGGACTAAAACTCTGTTTTGTCTAGATCAAATTTATCTTTTATAGTTCCTCAAACAACTCCAATAACACTGGAACTGAAATGAAAGTTATGAAAACTTAATAAAATGGACACTAAAATATTAATGAGAATGGTGACATATTAATCCAATGCAAAAATGTGAAGAGCCTTTATCAAAGAATGAAGAAAAGAGATAAAGATTTCCAGAGGATATTTACATCTATCAGAAATTGCAATACTGAAGTGAGCATCACATAATGGCTGACAGGTGAGTGATAAACTGATGTCTAGAATTAGTCTTTCTTATTGAAGCAACTGGAGCTTTATAATCACATAATAATCCCCCATGCCCAAGAGTGGCACCATCAGATGGTTACCATGGCTGTGGGACAGGGATCACAGGGTGCTATTAATAATCTCATTGCTGCTGAACAAAACCCTCCCATGAATACCTGAACAAGAGAATGATTTGACACACACACACACACACACACACACACACACATAAACACAGTTTTTTTCAAGACAGCTTAATAAATTTATTTCCAAATAAATTAAAATAACTAAGCACAATGGAAAATCATTATGGAGAAAAATAACTTCTTCCAAAATTTAATTTGATAGATGGTGTTAAAACCCATCATGAAAACCTTTAACACATATAGAGCATTTTCCCTTTCCTAGTTAATTACAAATTAAAGACAAAACCCAACAATAAAAAGTGTTTTTGAGTGTTGAAGGAAAAGGGTGATTTCAAGATGCCTTTGGATATGTATAGACTTAGTTTTTGAATGATAAAGATAAGAAAGCCATGCATGTTTACTGACGGGATTTTTATATGAAAAACTATAGGTGTAAGTTAAGTGCATCTTAATTGCTAGGCATGTCTTCCCTAAAGACCTCTTATGGAAATAATACAACTTTTGAATGAAATATGGTTCAGATTTCTTTTAATAAAAAGAGATAGAGGGAAAGAAGGGAAAGATATGTACTTTGCTTGCCCATTCTATGGAAAGTACTTTTGGAATTATCAACCCATTGAAAACAGTGCATCAGCTTGATTCATTATGGTGATAGTGTTCAATGCATGAAGTTAATTCTATTAAAAAATCAAGAAATGTGTAAAGTTAAACCAACCTCACAAAATGCACGGGATATATGCCTTTTTGACTTAATTTGAAAATTAAAGTCTGATTTTTTTAATATTTATGGACAAAAGCATTTTGAACTAATTTGAAATGTATGTAACACGTATTCATAGAGCCCTTTCCTCCCCCTCTTCCAAGAGACAATATCTGTAACCCAGATTGGAGTAATAGAGAGGCTTGGAATTACTACTTTTATTCTATTTCTCCTTTCTCTCTTTCTCAAAAAAATGAGCTCACTCCTATCTTCATGGATCTTTCTCAAGGACTTCTGATTCTCCCAATCATCAAAAAAAGTTTCAAAGCAAAGTCTACACACTTCCTGGAACCTCTGATTTCTTGGAATTTGGAATGTGTTTGGATTAAACTTAGTACCCTATCCCCTGACAGAATTTACAGTAACTGTGAAGGCACACGCGAATTTTTGACTGAAGAAATAATAATTTCAAACAATGACTGCTTCTAGGAGGGAGGTTCTTAAGTATTCTGCCATCTGAACAATCTCTTGGGTCTCAGAAGACTGTTCCCAAGGAGAGGGGCTCCCAGTGGGCATCTCCTTTATTCCAAGTTTTGGGTTCAAGTGTCCTGCCCCCTATCTTTATTCAATATCTGTGTTTTCAAGTAGCTCTATTCAAAATGTCATACCCTCTCTATTTCCTGCAATAATACAAAACACCCCTTCTACTTCAGGGAAGTATTTCTAAATATTTTTTCCATGATCCCCCAAAACTAAGTAGAATTGAAAGTCAGTGGCAGCAGTTAATAGCTCTGCCATGTCTTTTCTCAAGTAGTGGTTCTCAAACCTAGTTATACACCGGAATAACATGGAGAAAAAATTTAGAATACCTATTATTCAGCACTCTCTGTCTTCACCCCAAAGACTTTTATTTGATTGGCGTCATCAATATCGGGAAAACATGGTTTTAAACACCAACTACAACCCCATGATCAGTTGCAGAAAAAAAGATTGTTAAGAATCACTAGTATTTTTTCTTTATTTTGGTATAAATATTGCTACATGGTGATGGCTAATTTTATGTGTCAACTTGTCTGAGCATGGCGCCCAGATATTTGGGCAAAGATTATACAGGATGTTTCTGTGATGGGTTTATGGATGAGATCAACATTTAAATTAGCTTACTTTGAGTAAAATACACTGGCCTCCATAATGTGGGTGAGCCTCATCCAATCATTTAAAACCCTGAATAGAACAAAAGACTCACCTCCTTTAAGCAAGAGGAAATTCTGCAGCAGATGGCCTTTGAACTTGAACTGCAATATCAGCTCTTTCCAAGTCTCCAGACTGCTGGCATACCTTGCCCACTGTGAACATTCCAACCTCTATAATCACAAGAGCAAATTTCTTAAAATAAATCTCTTTCTATGTACATACCTATCTTATTCTGTTTCTGGGCAGAATCCTGACTGATAACAATTTTGGCACCATGAAGTGGGATGCTAACTATAACAAATAACTAAAAATGTGGTAGTGGCTTTTTAACTTTGTAGTTGGTAGAGGCTAAAAGCAGTGGGGGTTTTTTTGTTTTTTTGTTGTTGTTTTTTTTTTGAGATAGAGTCTTGCTCTGTTAACCCAGGCTGGAGTGCAGTGGCGTGATCTTGGCTCACTGCAACCCCTGCCTCCCAGTTTCAAGCGATTCTCCTGCCTCAGCCTCCCGAGTAGCTGGGAGTACAGGTGTGTGCCACCAAGCCTGGCTATTTTTTGTATTTTTTAGCAGAGATAGGGTTTTGCCATGTTGGCCAGACTGGTCTTGAACTTCTGACCTCAAGCAATCCACCTGCCTTAGCCTCCCAAAGTGCTGGGATTGCAGGTGTGAGGCACCACGTCCAGCTGAGGCTGGAAGGGTTTTGAGGTTCATACTAGAAGAAGCCTAGATTGCCTTGAGGAGACTGTTTGTAAGAACATGGACATTAAAGTTGTTATGGTCTCAGACAAAATGAGGAACATGTAATTTATAGCTAGGTTGGGAAAACACTGAGCTTGATACAAGTTTTATATCCTCATGGAGCAGGGTATAAAACTGAGATTTCCTTATACCATCACCCACCATACTGATTTCTACATCTGCCAGTTCCCTTACTACATTTAGTATATCTCCCAAGAAGAGAAAGCAGCATTCCAATCACAGTACAGTGTAAACACCTACAGAGAAAATAAACGTTGTGTTAATTAGCCAGGTTTTCATCCTGCTCTTGGAGCCCATGGGCTGTAGTATTGAGCAAAGAAATGTCATTTTCTAATGGTCAGAGTTACCACTGGAACAAAGGTATGCTATGCCAACCTTAATGGCCACTCCATTTTCTACTCCAGGAAAGGGCAAAGTCTTCATTAAATAATTTTGATTCAGCAAGTCTGCTTCTGAAGGACAATAAGAACTTGTTGTTCCAGGAACTTGTTGAAGTAGAATTTATTTTGTTCCAGGAACGAATTTAAGGAGTTTATATACATATTAATATATTTTAATACTCATTGTGGTTTTGTGAGGTAGGCATATTGTGGTCTCCACTTTATAGTTGAGTCTATTGAGGCCCAAACTATTAAGTAATTTACCCAAGGTCAAATCAGTCACAGAGCCAGGATGCAAACCCAGACAATCAGACTCTTAAGTTCATGCTCCTCGTCATTTTGCTACACTGCCTTTTAAAGAAGAGAAGAAAATTCCTATTGTATACCTGATTTCACTTTTTAAATTTGTTTTATATGTTACTTGTTTTTTAATTCGACAAATATTTATTGAGGACCTATTATGTGCATCTACTATTTTGAACTCCGGGAATATAGAGGTGAGCAAAACAGATTACACAATTCTTCTGTCATGGAACTTTCATTCTACTTCAGTGAAACAAAAATAAAGTCATCAAATATATGATGTTTTAGTTGGCAAAAAGTACTTGGCATGAGGAAAAGCAAGTAAAGGGAAGGGCATAAAACTGACATATTCAAAAACCAAAAGTTCCACTGTGAGTAGGACTGAGTGAGTGAATGTTTCCAATTGCAGAAGAAATTGTTAGGCCATGGGATTGTGTGTGCTCTGGGACCATTGTAAGGACTTTGAGAGAGAGAGAAATAATCACAGGATCTTGGAGTAGCATAATTTGACTTATATTTTTAAATAATTCCTCTGCATATTGTGAATAATAGACTGGGGTGAGACAGGAATAACAAGGGCTGATGGAAGAAATCCACTTTGAAAGCTATTGTAGTAATCAACAAGAAAGATGATGGTGCTTTGGACATGAAAGGTAGCACCAAGAGTAGCAAAAAATCATCAAAATGTGAAAGTAGGTTGAGGAAATCACTGATGAAACTTACAACTGGATTAAATGTGTGGTATAAGATAAATAGCAGACTTGGGTATGTCTTCAAGGTTTTTAGTTTTGGCATTAGAAGAATGGAACTGTCATTTGCCAAAATGGTATTGTTGCTAGAAGTACAAATTTGAGGGGAATATCCTAAGCTCAGTTTAGAACAATTAAACTTGAGATAAATTCTGCACATTTAAGCAGAGTGGTCAATTAGGCTGTTGGATACAAGTCTGGACTTCAGGAGAAAGTTCTGGTCTTCAGATGTATTAAAACTACAATTACTTTTGCTCCAACCTAATACAATTTAGAGACCTGCATATGTCCTTAGTTTATTAGTCAAGGGTCTCCAAAGAAACAGAATCAGTAGGAGAAATACATATATATATATATATATATTTATATTATTACAAACATATAATACATACATAATATATATGTATACATATATATGTATAATTTATGTATAATTTATGTATAATTATACATAATACATATATATGTATACATAGTATACATAATATATGTATAATTTTCTATTCTATATCTGTGTATCTCTCTCTTTGTCTCTCTCTGTCTGTCTCTATCATCTCTGCCTCAGTCCACCCCACCCATTTCTTAAATAAAATTTATTACAAGAAATTGGCCTACACAATTAAAGAGACTGAGAAGCACCACAATCTGCTCCCTTCAAGTTAAAGGCCCAGGAAAGCCAAGCGTAAATTCCAGTCTGTGACTGAAGTCTTAAGAACCAGGAACACCAATGTTTAAGTTCCAGTGCAAGGTCAGGAAACAACTGATGTAACAGCTCAAGCAGTTAGGCAGAGAGAGAGATAATTAATCTTCCACTTTTTTGTTCTATTTAGGCCCTAATGTGTTAGATGATGTCCACCCATATTGGGGAGAAAAATCTCCTTTACTCAGTCCACCAATTCAAATGTTAATCCCTTCCAGAAATATCCTTACAGATAAACCCAGAAACAAGGTTTAACCAGATATCTAGTCATCCCATGGCCCAGTCAAGTTGACATGTGAAAGCAACCATCACAGTTGGTATTTGAAGCCATGGTCTGGACGAAATCACCTAGAGCACTGAGTCTTAAAGTGTGGTGCCAGAACCAGCAGCATCATCATCACTTGGGAATTTGTTACAAAGGCAAGTTTTTGGGCCCTACATTTAGGCCTACTGAATCAGCAACTGCAGAGGTGGATCCCCATATTTTACCTTCTGCATGTCTTCCAGGTAATACTGAATGATGTACTGTAGGCAGTCAGCTTTGGCTGCCATAACAAAATACCACAGACTTGATAGCTTAAATAACAGAAATTTATTTTCTCACAGTTCTGGAAGCTAGAAGTCTGAGATCAAACTGCCAGCATGGTTGGTTTCAGGGGAGGCCTTTCTTCCTAGTTTATAGATGGCCACCTTCTTGCTGTGTCTCCACATGGCCTTTTCTCTGTGCCCAGAAAGAGAGAGAACTCTCTGATACCTCTTCCTCATTTTATAAGAACACTAGCGCTATCGGGTTAAAATCCTACTCTTGTGACCTCATTTAATCGTAATTACTTCCCTAAAGGCTGTCCATCTCCAAACACCATCACATCAGGAGTTAGGGCTTCAACATATGGATTCTGGGGGGACCCAATTCAGTTCATAAGAACCACTGACCTAGAGAATAAATATAGACAGAGAAGAGTTCCAAAACTGAGCGTTGGGAAGCTTTATGTACAGAGGTTGACAAAGTACAGAGGAATATCCAAACAGATTCAGGAACAATAGCCAGTGAGAGAACAAGAACACCAAAACAGCCTGGGTCCTACAGAATCAATCAAAATAAGAACAAAACAATGAGAAGGGAATGATATGTTTGGGAAAAAAAGTAAAATTGGCAGATCAAGCAAGGTGATTAGTTATGTTGAACTATGTTGAGCATTTTTTCTTATATGATTCTTAGTCACTTGTATGTCTCCTTTTGAGAAGTGTCTGTTTATGTCCTTTTCCCTCTTCTTAATGAGATTATCTGTGTTTTTTCTTATTCATTTAATTTCCATATAGATTATAGATATTAGTTATTTGTTGGATGCATAATTTGTAGATATTTTCTGCCATTCTGTGGGTTGTCTGTTTACTCTTTTGATAGTTTCGTTTGCTGTGCAGAAGCTCTTTAGTTTAATTAGATTGCAATTTTCAATTTGTGGTTTAGTTGAAATTAATTTTGAAGACTTAGTCATAAATTATTTGTCCAGAAGAGTATTTCCTAGGTTTCGTTCTAGGATTTTTATAGCTTGAGGTATTACATTTGAATCTTTAATTTATCTTGAGGTAATTTTTGTATATGGTGAGAGTTAGGGGCCCAGTTTCATTCTTTATATATAGTAAGCCAGTTTTTCTAGCACCATTTATTGAATAGAGAATTTCAATTTACATTGCTTCTCCATTGCTTATTTTTGTCAACTTTGTCAAAGTTCAGTTGGTTGTAGGTGTATAGCTTGATTTTCTTTTATTCTGTTCCATTGATTTATGTGGCTATTCTTCTACCAGTACCATGCTGTTTTGGTTGTTGTAGGCTTGTAGTATAGTCAGATAATGTGATATCTCTGGCTTTGTTCTTTTTTCTTAGGATTGCTTTGGCAATTTGGGCTCTTTTTTGGTTTCACATGAATGTTGGAATAGCTTTTTCTAATTCTGTGCATAATGACTTGGTGATTTAATGGAAATAGAAATGAAACTGTAGATTACTTTAAGAAGGATGAACATTTTAATGATATTGATTCTTCCCATCCATGAGCATGGAATGTTTTTCCATTTGATTGTGTTGTCTCTGATTTCTTACAGCAGTGTCTTGTGTTCTTTTTGTAGGGTAAGATGTATTCTTAGGTATTTTTGTGTGTTTTTATTGTAAATGGGACTGTGTTCTTGATTTGGCTCTCAGCTTGAATGTATTGCTATTAATATACAGAAATGCTACTGATTTTTGTACATTGATTTTGTATCCTGAAACTTTATTGAAGTTGTCTGTCAGTTCCAGGAGACTTTTGGTGGAGACTTAAGGAATTTCTAGGTAAAGAATTATACTATTAACAAAAAGAGATCATTTAACTTCCTCTTTTCCTATTTGGATGCTTTCATCTCCTGTAAAGCAGAAAATTTGGAACAAATAGAGACCTTCCAGAAAGTAAGTGTGTGTGTGTATGTGTGTGTGTGTGCATGAGAGGGAGAGAGAGAGAGAGAGAGAGCGTGAGAGCCTGAACAAGCCTTCATAGTAGAATTTAAGAAGTATTAAAAGTATTAGATGCTTGTACAAACAGTCCTCTACTTAGGATGTTTTGACTTAAATTTTTTTGATGTTATAATAGTGTGAAAGCAGTACACATTTGGTAGAATCCATACATTGAATTTTAAATCTTGAGCATTTCTTGGACTAGTGATATGCAGCATAATACTCTCTTGCAACGCTGGGCAGTGGCAGTGAGCAACAGCTCCAAGTCAGTCCCATGGTCACGAAGGTAAACAGCTGATATTCTACAGTGTAGTGTATTCAGTAAATTACATGAGGCATTCAACATTTCATTGTAAAAACAGTGATCATCTATCTTTAATGCCAAGACTATATATAAGAAGCCCCAACCTATTGGGAACATAGATGATACATACGGAAGAGAAAGAAGTGGAGAAAAACACTGATTTAACTGAATTGATAATTGAAATGACAATGTTAACTTGGAAATGACAAAAATTGTTTTCTGCTATTAAGTAGATAGAATCTTAAGAGTAAATTCGGTTTTGGGAAATTAGAAAAATGCTATATATTTATTGTATATGTAGGTATATAGCTGGTAAATTCATACCCCTTGTATGTACAGTACATCCCAGAGTCATTAAAATATTTTAAATTATTCTGAGAGCAGAATTCTTTAGAGATGACCATAAACCTAGGTTTGGGAATTTTAAGTCTTAGTCATATGTATATGTACCATAATGTTGGATAAAAATTTTCCTTTGATTTAGGATTTCAGCCAAAGTATTTACACATTGTAAAGAAAAGTATAAATTTACTAAAAAATAGAAAAATCATTCCAACAATGAGAACCCCTGCATGCTCTGTACAAGAAGACCAGGAATGGAAAAATATACTTCAAGGGGAATTTTAGAAATAGGAAGTGCATTGCTTATTCTTCTTCTTGCCTGTGAACGTAGAGACTGATATCTTTTAATATGAGAAAAGAAAAGCTGCCACTGTGCACACCCTGGAAACCAGCTTGTTCAATAATGAGCTGGTTACATTTATCAGTAGTGCATTTGTGACCTGCAAGGAAACATTAGTGCTTTAACCACAGGAACTCAGAATATTCATTCCATTCAGAGAAATTCAGAATATTATGTAAAACTTCTTTAGCTCATTTATGGTATGAAGAGGATATTTTGGGAGTGACTGAGGTTACTGAAAATCCTCAGACTGTATGTAGACTATTTGTCAAACCGTTTGGATATCTGTTTCATATGTTTAACTCTTTTTGACCTCCTGAAAAGTCTCGTTTTCCAGCTTTAGGGTTAAGACTGTTTCTTTGATACAATTAAACATGATTGAGTACCTGTACTAAGTACTTGGGATATTACCATCTCTTCCTAATATTTTCAAGGAAGCTTGGAGGGGATGGGCTTAAATTATATTTTTCTGGGTCATCTCTATCTCCAATGCCCTGCTTCGGTTGGCAGAACACTTTTCCTCTCCTAATACAATTTTTTGTATTATACAAGACATTTACTGAAGTCATGGATTAAGGCTTAGCAAAGTACAGACAATAATTTAAAATTGAATATTAGAAATTTTCTTAAAGACCAGTACCTATTTATTTCTCATGGATATCTTATTTCTCAAAGCTCTACCTGCTCTCTTGTTACCTACTCTTCACTATCTTTTTGCAATCATTCCCCATATTTTCTTATTCTGAATGTTGTCTCTACCTATAATTCATTATTTGGACATGGGATATGTCTATTTGGATATATGATATTATATAAAAATACTAGTTAATATATTTACTTATCTAAAATAATTAGAGATCAAAAATATTGTTAATTTAGTTTGTGTAAATGCAGACATTTTAAATTTGAAGCAACTTTAACAAATTCTAACAATTCCTGGGAAAGTGTAATCCATCACTCAATTAATTTTAAATAATTATTTGGTTTTTTTTCCTGGAATTTAAGAATATGTGTGTATATATATATATATGTGTGTGTGTGTGTGTATATAATTTTATATATCTGTTTAAAATTTATATTTTCCTTAGTTATTTCCAAGGGTTAAATTATGAAGCATAAAATTTCAATACTATCTTTTTCTATCTGCTATTAATTGTACCAGCTAAGAAAGTCCTGTAACTTCTCCACATATATTGACAAAAAAGCTCTCTTGAAGCTCAAGAAAATGCCATATCTTTGGAGAATGCTTCCCCTAATGACTATAAATCACAATGTCCAACATGTTTAGTGTAGTACTACTATTACTTTTTCTCTAAATTTTCTCTTTGGTGTTAAGTCTTCTCTAACTATGCTATAACTCCTATTTTTAATAAATTAAGTATTATATCTCTTTATAGCGCCTAAGCATAAAATCAGGAACATGATATGCACCCAGTAATTTTTAAAGAAATCTGATTGAATACTATAACGGTATACCGGAACTTCAAAAGTACTTAAACAAAACACCAATCTACAATAAGTCTGATTATGTGCATACACTTTTGTTTGGAGAAGATACTTCTTCACCGTTTTCAGTGGTATAATTTTTACAGAGTGAAGCGCACTGCTGTTAATGAGGTTTGATAAATTTATATGTTCATATAATCTACAATACCCTGCTTGTTTTCTGCCATTAGGTAGATATGTATTTGATGGATATATCTAAAATATGTATAAAATACATATTTCCTGCCGGGTGTGGTGGCTCACGCCTGTAATCCCAACACTTTGGGAGGCCGAGGTGGGCGGATCATCTGAGGTCGGGAGTTCAAGACCAGCCTGGCCAACATGGCGAAACCCCATCTCTACTAAAAATACAGAAATTAGCCCGGGCATGGTGGTGTGTGCCTGTAATCCCAGCTACTCAGGAGGTTGAGACAGGAGAATCACTTGAACCCAGGAGGCAGAGGTTGCAGTTAGCCAAGATCGCGCCACTGCACTCCAGCCTGGGCGACAAAGTGAGACTCTGTCTCAAAAAAAAAAAAAATATATATATATATATTTCCAAAATTCCAGCTAATTATACACCATCCCATCCCCCCCACCACTAGAGGTAGCTACTATTCTTATTTTAATCACCATTTTGCTGTTTACGTTTTACTGTTCTAGAACTTCATAAACACAGAATTCTACAATATGTGTCTGCCTTCTCTCACTCACTGTAATGTGTTTTGAGATTCATCCTGCTGTTGTGTGTTAATGGTAATTTACTCCATTTTATTGCTGAGAAGTAGTCCATCACATAAGTGTACTACATTTTGCTTATCCATTCTCTTACTAATGTTCATTTGGGCTTTCCAATTTAGGGCTATTGAGAATTATGTTGCTAGGAACATTTTGTACAAGTTATATTTGGACATAGTATTTTATTTGTCTAAGATACCCTAAATATCCTAGATATACCTGGAAAGAAATGGCTGTATCATAGTAAAAATGTTTTAACTTCATAAGAAACCACTAAACAGATTGTAACATGGCTACCGTTTTATGTTTCTAAACCAACATACAAGGATTTGAGCTGCTCAACATCCTAACATTCAATGTTGTCAGCCCTTGTAACTTAGCCACTCTTGTGAGTATGTACCAGAATTTCGTAGTAGTTTTGACTTTTCCTGACGACTAACGCCAGATATTTTCATGTGCTAATTGTCCACTTTCACATTTTTATTCCATATGTAGGTGACTATTTAAATATTCTCCTTTATAAACTATATTCAAACCTAATGCCATTTTTCTGTTTTGAGTTTTTTTTTAAATTGACTTCTATGAATATCTGTGCTTTCTGGAGACAAGTCCCTCTTTGGATAGATGTTGTGCAAACATTTCATCACACTCTGTGGGTTGTCTTTTCAGCTTGTTAATGTGTCTTTTCATGAACAGAGCTTCTTAATTTTATGTAGTATCATTCTATTCTTTGATGATTAGTGCTTTTTGTCTTCATCATGAAATCTTTGCCCATACATAGATCTTGAATGATATTGCCTAGGTTGTCTTCCAGGGTTTTTATAGTTTGGGGTTTTATGTTTAAGTCTTTAATCCATATTGAGTTAATTTTTGTATATGGTATAATAAAGGAGTCCAGTTTCAATCTTCTGCATGTGATTTTAATTTGCATTTCTCTTGTTCAAGAAATCTTTGCTTATGGTCATGAAGAGCTGCTTCTATGTTTTACCCTAAAAGGCTTTTGTTTGTATCTATTCCCATATAGATCTTCCATCTGATATCTATTAATTTTTTTGTACAGGGTAATGTAGGAGTCAAGAGTAATTGTTTTCCACGTGAATATTTTTCCTACTGTCTCAACATTATTTGTTGAAGGATTATTCCTTTTCCTCCACACTTCACCAACACCTTGCTAAGTCAGGTGACAATAGATATATGGATCAATTTCTGGGCTCCTCTTTCTGTATTGTTGGTCATTTTGCCTTTTACTGTTTTAATCACTTCAACATTATTGTCTGATGGTATAAGTCTTCTTACTCTGTGTCTTCTTTTTCAAATTTCTCTGAGTATTTTTATCTTTTACATATCCTTATGAATCTTCAGAATCATTCTTTCAATTTCTAAGAACCAAAAACAAACAAAACAAAAACTTGTTAGGACCCTCACTTGTAATGTATTGAAACTAGAGGTTTTTGGAGAAAACTGACATTTTTTACAATACTGACCTTCCAACCCATGAATGGAATCAGCTAACAACAATGTTATGTAAAAACCTCCAAACTCAGTGGTTTAAAAAAGGAAAACAATCATTCATTCCCACAGATCTGTTTGTCTGTAAGGAAGCTGTGGTGGCTGGTATGGCTCATCACCACAATAGTCTGCACCACACCATCCATCTTCCTGAGGCTGCTGCATGTCCCTCTCATTCTCCTTGGATGAGTAGGTAGACCAGACATGTCATTCTCACAGCAATGACAAAATTCAAGGGGGCCAGGCCAGTTTCAGTGTGTTGCAAGCTACTGCTTAAAACCTATCTGCTAGTATCATATTGGCCAAATATTTCATTTGTCTGAGCCCAGCATCTGGGGTGGAAACTATACCCCAACTTTGGTGGGAGCACTGCAAAATTATATACCAATGGGCTTGGCATCAGGAGGGAGTGAATACTTTGGCCTAATTGAGGAAATATATCACTTCAGACAATGTTGAGAATTCTGTTTCTCTCACTAAGATTTAATGTTGTCATCGCTACAAAAATTTTGGTGTACCAAATGTTTCAACCTTCTTTTCAGTCCTTACTATACCTCTGAATCTGTGTGATGAAATAATCTATACAACAAATCCCCATGACACAAGTTTACCTGTGTAACAAACCTGTAGTTGTACCCCTGAACTTAAAAAAAAGAATATAAAACTGACATTAAATTAGAGTTTCAGAATCTATGCGTCAGAATGGTGAGTAAATATTACAAAATGTGATGTATCCACTACAACTACAGCTCTACATAATGCATACACACACACACATTATGGGGCAAAACTGATGAGACAATGGATAAATTTCTCTCTTATTTATTTGATATTGTTAAAATAATCTTTTTACAATAAATAATATTCAGAATAAATACCACATTATCTTCCACAATGGCTGAACTAATTTAGACTCCCCTCAACAGTGTATAGGCATTTCTTTTTCTCTACAACCTCACCAGCATGTTATCTTTTGACTTTTTTATAGCATCCATCTGACTGATATGAAATAATATCTCATTGTGGTTTTGATTTGCATTTCTCTAATGATCAGTGACATTGAGCTTTTCTTTCATATGACTGCTGGCAGTATGTATGTCTTCTTTTGAAAAGCGTCTGTTCTTGTCTTTTGCCCACTTTTTGATGGGGTAGTTTTTTTCTTGTAAATTTGAGTTCCTTATAGATGCTGGATCTTAGACCTTTGTCAGATATGCAGCTTGCAAAAATTTTCTCCCATTCTGTAGGCTGTTTCCTTTGTTGGTAGTTTCTTTTGCTGTGCAGAAGCTCTTTAGTTTAATTAGATCTCATTTGTCAATTTTTGCTTTTGTTGCAATTACTTTTGTTGTCTTCATCATGAAATCTTTGCCCAGGCCTAGATCATGAATGATATTGCCTAGGTTGTCTTCCAGGGTTTTTATAGTTTGGGGTTCTAAATTTAAGTCTTTAATCCATATTGAGTGAATTTTTGTATATGGCATAAGGAAGGAGTCCAGTTTCGATCTTCTGCATATGGCTAGCCTCTTCTCCCAATGCCATTTATCAAATATGAAATCATGTCCCCATTGCTTGTTTTTGTCAGGTTTGTCAAAGATCAGATAGCTGTAGGTAAGTGCTCTTATTTCTGGCTTCTCTATTCTCTTCCATTGTTCTATGTGTCCGTTCCTGTGCCAGTACCATGGTGTTTTGGTTACGGTAGCCCTGTAGGATAGTTTGAAGTCAGGTAGCGTGATGTCTCCAGTGCTTTTCTTTTTTGCTTAAGATTGCCTTGGCTATTCGGGTTCCTTTTTGGTTCCATATGAATTTTAAAATAGTTCTTTTTTTCTATCTCTGTGAAGAATATCAATGGTAGATTTCTGGGAATAGCATTAAATCTATAAATTGTTTTGGGCAGTATGGCCATTTTAATGATATTGATTCTTTCTATCCATGAGTATGGAATGTTTTTCCATTTGTTTGTGTCGTCTCTGATTTCTTTAAGAAGTGGTTTGTAGTTGTCCTTGTAGAGATCTTTCACCTTTCTTGTTAGTTGTATTCCTAGGTATTTTATTCTTTTTGTGGCAGTTGTGAATGGGAATTCGTTTCTGATTTGGCTCTCGGCTTGCCTGTTGTTTGTGTATAGAAAAGCTGGTGATTTTTGCACATTGACTTTGTATCCTGAGACTTTGCTGAAGTTGCTTGTCAGCTTAAGAAGCTTTGGGGCTGAGACTGTGGGGTTTTTTAGATATAGGATTATGTCATCTACAAAACAGGGATAAATTTGACTTCCTCTCTTTCCGTTTGAATGCCCTTTATTTCTTTCTCTTGCCTGATTGCCCTGGCCAAAACTCCAAAACAATGTTGAATAGGAGTGGTGAGAGAGGGCATCCTTGTCTTCTAGTTTTCAAGGGGAATCCTTCCAGCTTTTTCCCATTTAGTATGCTGTTGGCTATGAGTTAGTCATTTGTGGCTTTTATTATTTGGAGGTATGTTGCTTCAATAGCTAGTTTATTGAGAGTTTTTAACATGAAGCAATGTTGAATTTTATCGAAGGCCTTTTCTGCATCTATTGAGATAATTATGTGGTTTTGTCGTTAGTTCTGTTTATATGATGAATCACATTTATTGATTTTTGTGTGTTGAACCAACCTTGCATCCTGGAGATGAAGCCTATTTGATTGTGGTGGATAAGCTTTTTTGATATACTGCTGAATTTGGGTTGCCAGTATTTTGTTAAGTATTTTTGCACTGATGTTCATAAAGGATATTGGCCTGATATTTTCCTTGTTTTTGTATCTCTGCCAGGTTTTGGTATCAGGATGATGTTGGTTTCATAGAATCGGCTAGGGAGGAATCGTCCTCAATTTTTTGGAATAGTTTCAGCTGGAATGGTACCAGCTTTTCTTTGTACTCTGGTAGAATTCAGCTATGAATCCTTGTGGTCCTGGGCTTCTTTTTTCTCTTTTTTTTTTGGTTGGTAGGCTATTTATTACTATCTCAATATCTGAACTCACTATTAGTCTGTTCAGGGATTCAATTTCTTCCTTCTTCAATCTTGGGAGGGTGTATGTATTCAGGAATTTATCACTTTCTTCTAAATTTGCTAGTTTACGTGCATAGAGGTGCTCATAATATTCTTTGATTGTAGTTTTTCTTTTTTTTAATATACTTTAAATTTTAGGGTACATGTACACAACATGCAGGTTAGTTACATATGTATACATGTGCCATGTTGGTGTGCTGCACTCATTAACTCGTCATTTAACATTAGGTATATCTCCTAATGCTATCCCTCCCCACTCCCCCCACCCCTAAACAGGCCCTGGTGTGTGATGTTCCCCTTCCTGTGTCCATGTGTTCTCATTGTTCAATTCCCACCTATGAGTGAGAACATGCGGTGTTTGGTTTTTTGTCCTTGCGATAGTTTGCTAAGAATGATGGTTTCCAGCTTCATCCATGTCCCTACAAAGGACATGAACTCATCATTTTTTATGGCTGCATAGTATTCCACGCTGTATATGTGCCACATTTTCTTAATCCAGTCTATCATTGTTGGACATTTGGGTTGGTTCCAAGTCTTTCCTATTGTGAATAGTGCCGCAATAAACATACATGTGCATGTGTCTTTATAGCAGCATGATTTGTAATCCTTTGGGTGTATACCCAGTAATGGGATTGCTGAGTCAACTGGTATTTCTAGTTCTAGATCCTTGAGGAATCGCCACACCGACTTCCACAATGGTTGAACTAGTTTACAGTCCCACCAACAGTGTAAAAGTGTTCCTATTTCTCCACATCCTCTCCAGCACCTGTTGTTTCCTGACTTTTTAATGATCGTCAATCTAACTGGTGTGAGATGGTATCTCACTGTGGTTTTGATTTGCATTTCTCTGATGGCCAGTGATGATGAGCATTTTTTCATGTGTCTTTTGGCTGCATAAATGTCTTCTTTTGAAAAGTGTCTGTTCATATCCGTCGCCCACTTTTTGATGGGGTTGTTTGTTTTTTTCTTGTAAATTTTTTGGAGTTCATTGTAGTTTCTGGATATTAGCCCTTTGTCAGATAAGTAGATTGCAAAAATTTTCTCCCACTCTGTAGGTTGCCTGTTCAGTCTGATGGTAGTTTCTTTTCCTGTGCAGAAGCTATTTAGTTTAATCAAATCCCATTTGTCAATTTTGTCTTTTGTTGCCATTGCTTTTGGTGTTTTATACATGAAGTCCTTGCCCATGCCTATGTCCTGAATGGTATTGCCTAGGTTTTCTTCTAGGGTTTTTATGGTTTTATGTCTAACATTTAAGTCTTTAATCCATCTTGAATTAATTTTTGTATAAGGTGTAAGGAAGGGATCCAGTTTCAGCTTTCTACATATGGCTAGCCAGTTTTCCCAGCACCATTTATTAAATAGGGAATCCTTTCCCCATTGCTTGTTTTTCTCAGGTTTGTCAAAGATCAGATAGTTGTAGATATGCGTCATTATTTCTGAGGGCTCTGTTCTGTTTCATTGGTCTATATCTCTGTTTTGGTACCAGTATCATGCTGTTTTGGTTACTGTAGCCTTGTAGTATAGTTTGAAGTCAGGTAGTGTGATGCCTCCAGCTTTGTTCTTTTGGCTTAGGATTGACTTGACAATGTGGCCTCATTTTTGGTTCCATGTGAACTTTAAAGTAGTTTTTCCCAATTCTGTGAAGAAAATCATTGGTAGCTTGATGGGGATGGCATTGAATCTATAAATTACCTTGGCCAGTATGGCCATTTTCACGATATTGATTCTTCCTACCCATGAGCATGGAATGTTCTTCCATTTGTTTGTATCCTCTTTTATTTCATTGAGCAGTGGTTTGTAGTTCTCCTTGAAGAGGTCCTTCACGTCCCTTGTAAGTTGGATTCCTAGGTATTGTATTCTCTTTGAAGCAATTGTGAATGGGAGTTCACTCATAATTTGGCTCTCTGTTTGTCTGTTATTGGTGTATAAGAATGCTTGTGATTTTTGCACATTGATTTTGTATCCTGGGACTTTGCTGAAGTTGCTTTGGGCTGAGATGATGGGGTTTTCTAGATATACAATCATGTCATCTGCAAACAGGGACAATTTGACTTCCTCTTTTCCTAATTGAATACCCTTTATTTCCTTCTCCTGCCTAATTGCCCTGGCCAGAACTTCCAACACTATGTGGAACAGGAGTGGTGAGAGAGGGCATCCCTGTCTTGTGCCAGTTTTCAAAGGGAATGCTTCCAGTTTTTGCCCATTCAGTATGATATTGACTGTGGGTTTGTCATAGATAGCTCTTATTGTTTTGAGATACGTCCCATCAATACCTAATTTATTTAGAGGTTTTAGCATGAAGGGTTGTTGAATTTTGTCAAAGGCCTTTTCTGCATCTATTGAGATAATCATATGGTTTTTGTCATTGGTTCTGTTTATATGCTGGAATATGTTTATTGATTTGTGTATGTTAAACCAGCCTTGCATCCCAGGGATGAAGCCCACTTGATCATGGTGGATAAGCTTCTTGATGTGCTGCTGGATTCAGTTTGCCAGTATTTTATTGAGGATTTTTGCATCGATGTTCATCAAGGATATTGGTCTAAAATTCTCTTTTTTGGTTGTGTCTCTGCCAGACTTTGGTATCAGGATGATGCTGGCCTCATAAAATGAGTTAGGGAGGATTCCCTCTTTTTCTATTGATTGGAATAGTTTCAGAAGGAATGGTACCAGCTCCTCCTCGTACCTCTGGTAGAATTTGGCTGTGAATCCGTCTGGTCCTGGACTTTTTTTGGTTGGTAAGCTATAAATTATTGCCTCAATTTCAGAGCCTGTTATTGGTATATTCAGAGATTCAAGTTCTTCCTGGTTTAGTCTTGGGAGGGTGTATGTGTTGAGGAATTTATCCATTTCTTCTAGATTTTCTGGTTTATTTGCGTAGAGGTGTTCATAGTATTCTCTGATGGTAGTTTGTATTTCTGTGGGATTGGTGGTGATATCCCCTTTATCATTTTTATTGGGTCTATTTGATTCTTTTCTCTTTTCTTCTTTGTTAGTCTTGCTAGTGGTCTATCAATTTTGTTGATCTTTTCAAAAAACCAGCTCCTGGATTCATTGATTTTTTGATAAGCTTTTTGTGTCTCTATTTCCTTTAGTTCTGCTCTGATCTTAGTTATTTCTTGCCTTCTGCTAGCTTTGGAATGTGTTTGCTCTTGCTTTTCTAGTTCTTTTAATTGTGATGTTAGGGTGTCAATTTTGGATCTTTCCTGCTTTCTCTTGTGGGCATTTAGTGCTATAAATTTCCCTCTACACACTGCTTTAAAGGTGTCCCAGAGATTCTGGTATGTTGTATCTTTGTTCTTGTTGGTTTCAAAGAACATCTTTATTTCTGCCTTCATTTCATTATGTATCCAGTAGTCATTCAGGAGCAGGTTGTTCAGTTTCCACGTAGTTGAGCTGTTTTGAGTGAGTTTCTTAATCCTGAGTTCTAGTTTGATTGCACTGTGGTCTGAGAGACAGTTTGTTATAATTTCTGTTCTTTTACATTTGCTGAGGAGTGTTTTAGTTCCAACTATGTGGTCAATTTTGGAATAAGTGTGGTGTAGTGCTGAGAAGAATGTATATTCTGTTGATTTGGGGTGGAGAGTTCTGTAGATGTTTATTAGGTCCGCTTGGTGCAGAGCTGAGTTCAATTCCTGGATATCCTTGGTAACTTTCTGTCTCGTTGATCTATCTAATGTTGACAATGGGGTGTTAAAGTCTCCCATTATTATTGTGTGGGAGTCTAAGTCTCTTTCTAGGTCTCTGAGGACTTGCTTTATGAATCTGGGTGCTCCTGTATTGGGTGCATATATATTTAGGATAGTTAGCTCTTCTTGTTGAATTGATCCCTTTACCATTATTTAATGGCTTTGTTTGTCTCTTTTGATCTTTGTTGGTTTAAAGTCTGTTTTATCAGAGACTAGGATTGCAACCCCTGCCTTTTTTTGTTTTCCATTTGCTTGGTAGATCTTCCTCCATCCCTTTATTTTGAGCCTATGTGTGTGTCTGCACATGGGATGGGTTTCCTGAACACAGCACACTGATGGCTCTTGACTCTTTATCCAATTTGCCAGTCTGTGTCTTTTAATTGGAGCATTTAGCCCATTTACATTTAAGGTTAATATTGTTATGTGTGAATCTGATCCTGTCATTATGATGTTAGCTGGTTATTTTGCCCGTTAGTTGATGCAGTTTCTTCCTAGCCTCGATGGTCTTTACAATTTGGCATGTTTTTGCAGTGGCTGGTACCAGTTGTTCCTTTCCATGTTTAGTGCTTCCTTCAGGAGCTCTTGTAGGGCAGGCCTGGTGGTGACAAAATCTCTCAGCATTTGCTTGTCTGTAAAGGATTTTATTTCTCCTTCACTTCTGAAGTTTAATTTGGCTGGATATGAAATTCTGGGTTGAAAATTCTTTTCTTTAAGAATGTTGAATAATGGCCCCTACTCTCTTCTGACTTGTAGAGTTTCTGCCGAGAGATCCACTGTTAGTCTGATTGGCTTCCCTCAGTGGGTAAACAGACCTTTCTCTCTGGCTGCCCTTAACTTTTTTCCTTCATGCCTTTGTAGCCGATTCGATCAACTGGAAGAAAGTGTATCAGTGATGGAAGATCAAATGGATGAAATGAAGCGAGAAGGGAAGTTTAGCGAAAAAAGATAAAAAGAAATGAACAAAGCCTCCAGGAAATATAGGACTATGTGAAAAGACCAAATCTACTTCTGATTGGTGTACCTGAAAGTGACGAGGAGAATGGAACCAAGTTGGAAAACACTCTGCAGGATATTATACAGGAGAACTTCCCCAATCTAGCAAGGCAGGCCAACATTAAAATTCAGGAAATACAGAGAACGCCACAAAGATACTCCTTGAGAAGAACAACTCCAAGACACATAATTGTCTGATTGTCGTTTTTCTGTGTGGTCAGTGGTAATATCCCTCTTATCATTTCTGATTGTGTTTATTTGAATATTCTCTCTTTCCTTCCTTATTAATCTAGCTAGTGGTCCATCTATTTTACTATTTTTTTTTCCAAAAAACCAGCTCCTGGATTCATTGATCTTTTGAATGATTTTTCGTGTCTCTATCTCCTTCAGTTCTGCTTTAATTTTGGTTATTTCTTGTCTTCTGCTAACTTTGAGGTTGATCTGTTCTTGCTTGTCTAATTCTTTCAGATGTGATGTTAGATTGTTAATTTGAGATCTTTCTAACTTTTTGATGTGAGCTTTTAGTGTTGTAAATTTTCTTCTTACCACTGCCTTAGCTGTGTCCCAGAGATTCTGGTACATTTTATCTTTGTTCTCATTAGTTTTAAAGAACTCCTTGATTTCTGCCTTAATTTCATTATTTACCCAAGAGTCATTCAGGAGCAGGTTATTTTATTTCCATGTAATTTTATGGCTATGAGTGAATTTCTTAGTCTGGATTTCTAATTTGATTGTGCTGTGGTCCAAGAGACTGTTATGATTTCACTTGCTGAGGAGTGTTTTACTTCTGATTGTGTGATTGATTTTAGAGTGAGTGCCATATGGCAATGAGAAGAATTTATATTCTGTTGTTTCTGGTGGAAAGTTCTGTAGATATCTATCTGGCCCATCTGATCCATTGCTGAGTTTAGCTCTTGAATATCTTTGTTAACTTTCTTATTTGATGATCTGTCCAATATTGTCAGAAGGGTATTACAGTTTCCCACTATTATTGTGTCTCTTTGAAGTTCTGTAAGAACTTTCTTTATTAATCATGTTGCTCCTGTGTTTGGTGCATATATATTTAGGATATTTCAGATCTTCTTGTTGAATTGAACCCTTTATGCTGTGTTTGGTGCATATGTACTTAGGATATTTCAGACCTTCTTGTTGAATTGAACCAAATATTTGGCTTAAATACTTAGCTAATTATTCTCCAAGCTTTAATTTTCTTAGCTAATATCCTAATACTCTTCTTTGCCTTTTTGTTAATCTTCATTGGTTTAGTGTCTGTTTTGTCAGAAACTAGAATTGCGATCCTTGCTTTTTTGTGTTTTACATTTGCTTGGTGGATTTCCCTGTATCCCTTTATTTTGAGCCTATGTGTGTCATTGCATGTAAGATGGGTCTTTTGAAGACAGCATACGAATGTGTCTTGTTTCTTTAGCCAGTTTGCCACTCTGTGTTTTTTAACTGGGGTATTTATCCCATTTATATTTAAGTTTAGTTTTGGTATGTGTGGATTCGATCCTGTCATCATGATGATAACTGGTTATTTTGCAGATTTGTTTATGTGGTTGATTTATCGTATCACTGGTCTGTGTACATCAGTGTGTTTTTATAGTGCCTGGTAACAGTCTTTTATTTCCATATTTAGTGCTTCCTTCAGGAACTCTTGTAAGGCAGGTCTGTAGCAAATTCCCTTAGCGTTTGCTTGTCCGAAAAGGACATTATTTTTGCTTATGAAGCTTAGTTTGGGCACATATGAAATTCTGGGTTGGAATTTCTTTTCTTTAAGAATATTGAATACTGGCCCTCAATGTCTTCTGGCTTGTAAGGTTTCCACTGAAAGGTCCTCAACTTTGTATTCTATTGATTGAAGATTGGCTCAAATATTTAGCTAATTATTCTCCAAGCTTTAATTTTCTTGTAAAACCACACACAGTTTTAGTTTTAAATACAATAGTACTTAAGCCAGGTGTGGGAGCTGACTCCTGTAATCTTAGCACTTTGGGAGGCCGAGGCAGGCAGATCGCTTGAGGTTAGGAGTTCAAGGCCAGCCTGGCCAACATAGCAAAAACCCATCTCTACTAAAAAAAAATACAAAAATTAGCTAGTTATGGTGGTGTGCGCCTGTAGTCCCAGCTACTTGGGAGGCTGCGGCAGGAGAATTGCTTGAATCTGGGAGGCAGAGGCTGCAATGAGCCAAGAGGGCACCACTGCACTCCAGCCTGGGTGACAGAGTGAGACTCTGTCTCCAAAACAAAACAAAACAAAAATAAATAAATACAATAAAAATAAATACAATAGTACCTTATCAATAAGGAATGCTGAGATATTCTACGTAAGTGACATTTTCCAAATACCTGAGGCATATGCACTGTAGTGTCCACATTTTTTTTGTATTTTATCTGTGTTGAATTAAAATGTTTATAAAACATTTTATGCTCTTTGTTGCATCCTCAGAATGAGAATACTAAACGCATTTTCTTGATGATTTTGCATGATTATTTAAGCATCCAAAGGTTGCATTGTGTGGATTAGTAATTCTGTTCTGCTTTTTAATTTTACTCTCTATTCTGTTTGTCAGGTTGCCATTTGTCACTTTTGAAGTAATTGTTGTTAATTGTACACAGGACTACTTCTTTCCTCTTCTGTTTGCTAATAATTTACTTTGGAATGAATAAACAGATGCAAAATCTTATTACAGTTGTACCTAAGTATTGCAGTGATTGAGAAGAACTTAAGAAGTAAATATCAGGCCAGGTGCAGTGGCTCATGCCTGTAATCCCAGCACTTTGGGAGGCCAAGGCAGGTGGATCACTTGAGGCCAGAATTTTGAGACCAGCCTGGCCAACATGGTGAAACCCCATCTATACTAAAAATACAAAAATTAGCCAGGCATGGTGACAGATGCCTATAGTCCCAGTTACTTGGGAGGTTGAGGCAGGAGAATCACTTGAACCTGGGAGGTGGAGGTTGCAGTGAGCTGAGATCAGGCCACTGCACTCCAGCCTGGGCAACAGAGAGAAACTCTGTCAAAAAAAAAAAAAAAAAAAAAAAAAAAAAAAAAAAAAAAAAAAAAAAAGTAAATATCATAAGCTATTTGTACACCAAATCTATAGTACACTATGATTGTAAAATACTTTTTCAATTGACTACAGCCCACGTCTGATGCATTTTCCTCTGTTCTTGCCCCAACAACTTTAGAAGTAAGATGTTAACAATAGTTAACAATATAAATAATTTCACTACGTCAAGTTACTGACTTGATAATATTGTGACTTTAGCAAATAGAAAGTATCCCTTAAATCTATTTAATACAATAATAATATTGGTTTTAAAGCACAGTTGTGAAGAATGTAGTTACACATTATATAATAAAACACCAGAAACATAAATATAGTTTCCTTTTTTATGTTCAGTCAATTATTTCAAGCAGCATCTTTTATTTGCTATTAAGCCAAATAGTAGACTGGGATTTTTCTCATTCAGACAATAAGATTGATTCACTCACTAAACTATTATGACATCATATGTTTCTTTTAACTTGAAAATACTTCATGTAACTATTTAGAATGTTCTAAAACTTTTGCAGATTAAAAAAAATAGCGAAAAGAAAATGTGTGAATAGGAAACATTGAATAGATGATCATCTCATTAGTATGCAAATAATTCATTATTGTAGATGTAGATGTTTAATGTCTTTCACCAAATAATGACTTCTGTATGGAGGACTGGGGCTTCACGGGAAGAGTGAGGAAGTTAGTCGGCTTTCTCAGATACTCCAAAGTGAGCACCACAACTTTAAAACTAGCTCCTTTATATTTAAAACACTGTCCTATGGCTGAAAACTGGAGAGTCAAAGACATAGCAAAGAATGGCTTCATATCAATTAACTCTGGTGTTAAGTCCAGAGTATGACTAAATTTGAGGAACTGTGTTTATTTTCAGTGGCTCCTCTTCTCTCTAGTTACCCTGGCCTCCACCAGAAAATCCAGAAAAATCCTCAGACTGATTTAATGATCTTAATATCTCCACTGCTGAGTCCCACGTGGCCTGGTCTAATCTTCTGCAGACACTTCAGAGCTAGAGGTGTTTCCTTTTATCCTCTCCTTCACTCTTAACCTACTCGTAGCTCATCATCTTTGTTAAGGATATTAAAATGAAGAAACATGAGGTAATACATGAATTTCCTGAAATAATATTTAATTCTATGTGTGTGTGTGTTGTCTCTGTGAATGTGTCCATAATTCTAAGAAATTGTTGATACTCTTTATCAGATTTTCAAAGAAAACCATAATCACAAAATGATTGAGCAATACCTCTTAGGTCACAGCTGACTATCGTGTGAATACAGAAAACAACAAACAGACATTTAACAAGGGCCTTGCAGATGAAATCTCTTAATTGTGAAATATCTAATAAGCCGTAAATGTGCAGATGCTCTTCCCATTTGAGTACATTTACTACTTATCCATTGCTTTGATTCAACTAATGTAAAATACATAAAACCCATTACAAATGATAGAGTGCAATGCTAAACAAGGTATGGTGAAATTATGTTTTTTCCTGGAGGCAAATTCTTTTTTGAATGGGAATTTGGCAATGCACTTAAAGGGATTAAAACAAAGTTTATACCATTTGAACCCTTTGACTTCTGGAAATGTCCTCTAAAGAAAAACTCATACATAAAATAAAAAAAACCTATTTACAAGAATATGTTCATTTAGGCATTATTTATCACAGAAAAAATAGAAATAAATATACAATAAAAGGGAAGTGTTTAATAATAAAGAAATGTGATCAGTATAAGATAAAATATATTACAATAATAATTATGAGAACTTCATAGTAACATGAAGATTTTAAGATAAATGTGAGAATTTATTAAGTTAATCTTATCATTCTCTTCTGTTAGCCTCTCATTGCTAATACAAGCATCTCAGCCCCAACCTATGGTCTTTGAATCCTCCATGCATTTTTTACTATTCCATGGTGGTGGCAGTTTGGACCCCCAAACCTGGACTTAAAAGTGTACTTTATTCGAGCTAATTCTAAATGACTAGCTTTATTACTTGTCCGATTTTCTTAATATTGTCTGGATTTTTTTTAGATAAGACCAGATATGCTTCACACTGAAAACACAAATAAAGGTAACAGTCTTACATACACAGCCTCAACAAATTTTAATTTGCTAATACCAAGAATAACAAAGACAACCGTAAACTAATACATAAACCAGTACATTTTACCAATAGCATCAATGCCAAAAACCTTAAAAAAGCATCACCCCTGAAGAATGCATAAGGAATTTCTTAAAGTTATCTTAATGACTTGTTCTTCCTGAGAAATAAGGAAAGGCAAACAAAGTTTCATTCTTACGGACTGAAAGCACCACAATGAGAAAAACATTGCTGATCTGAAAGCAAAGATGGTTTGGATTCTGGTTACTAAACATTGTCTCACAAGCAAGATAAATAGGTGAGCAAATAATAATTAGAATCTGACTTCTAATCAATGTGTATAAAGAATAAATGAAGCAGAAAAATATAATGTGAAGTATTTGCTCTAACAACCTTGAGGAGATGGACCAAGGTGCTACAGACTGGTTTCTGGAAGTGCAATGGAATGAGGGAAGAGGCAGGATGAAGAACTGATAAGCAGGGGATCTCTACTAAATGGGATCTCCTCACCTAGCTTACCCTTTTAGCATCTATGGACTAGCCCAGATACACAGAAATAAAAATGTCTTAGAGGCAACACTTTTTTTTTTTGAGATGTCATCTTGTTCTGTCTCCCAGGCTGGAGTGCAGTGGCATGATCATGGCTACTGCAGCCTAGAACTCCTGAGATCAAGTGATCCTCCTACCTCAGCCTCCCAAGAAGCTGGGACTATAAGTACACGATCACACACCCAGCTAATTGAAAAATAACAGTTTTGTAGATATGGGGTCTCACTATGTTGCCCAGGCTGGTGTCAAACTCCTAGGCTCAAGGGATTCTCCTGTCTAGGCCTCCCACAGTGCTGGGATTACAGGTGTGAGCCACCATGCCTGGCCAGGGGTAACACTTAAACTGCACTTATCACCAACCACTCCCTCTTTACAGAGAATATCTGGTACTCGAGACTTATGTCTAGGGGTAGACTCTTGGCACCATTAAATATTCCTCTTTCTGTCTGATAAACATATCTTTTTACTTTTTAAGGAGTGACTTTTAAAAAATGTTCAAACAAGCGGGAATGCTAAGAAATGATTGAGTTAAGTAGTTTCTTGTGTCCTTAATTCCTCTAGCTATTGATAAATGTGAATTTTATGTCTATAATAGCTTTTCCTTAGCCTTATCATCCCCCAGCTAAATTACAATTTTTCTTCTCCAATAAGTCCAGGTTAGCCATACATAAGAACAGCTACTACACAGAAAGCATTTATCACTCTCAGAGCTGAGGTGAACAGTTGAATCCTATTCAAGGTTTTCTAGTGTGTATGTGTGTGTGTGTGTGTGTCTTTATTGAGCCCCTGAACTTCCTGCCTCTAGATATTTTGTTATATGTGAAAAATAACCTCTACTGGGTGAATTCACTTAAACACCTTTTTTGTTGCTTGCATTCAAATATAGCACTATCAGATTAATAAACTCTATTCTTACAACATGTTAAAAGAAAAAAAGCTTTCCCATTTTCAGGCCTTACATTGGAAAAATGTACCATTTGAGATAACTCCAAGCCTGCCATGACCCCCTCTGCAGGAGGTCCACCAATGAGGAAATGGCATTTTCCTAAGCCAAACATTTTAAGTTAGCAATACATATATATGTAAACATATACTACTTTATGTGTTTATGTAGAACAATTATGTGTTATACAGCATATAACATGTTATATATAACATAATATATTATATGAAATGTATATACACAAAATAAATATGTTAAGAAAACATTGAGATTGTGGCAATAGCTGTAGACTAAGAGAACTCAAGGTCACCACCCTCAGCATCATAACTACGTGAAAACCTGAGGGAGCACACAGAAAAATGGTATTTTCTGCTCACAATTGCAGATAATCACAGAGCCTGTAAAATGGTGCAGGGCAGCAAGATAATCTGGATGCAATCAATTTAGTTTTAGTATAGAAGGCATTGCTTAGAATTCTCCTCAGGGGAGAGAAAAAGATGCATATAAGTTAAAACTGTTTTCTTGGAGAAGATACACTTTTGAAATGACAATTCTATAGCAGTGCTTTTGAACACCACAGGCTGGAGAAGATTGTACTTGGAATTAAAATTTAAAAATAAAATCAAAAGGGACACAATTCAGATTCCTTTCATGTTTATTCATACTAAATTCTGAAGTCTTAAAAATATTACAAGGATTTTTGAAATGATTTTTTTTTCTATTTTCCAAAGTAAAGATAGTTAAAACTCCCCATTAGAATATGAAGGGTCTTGATCATGAAATCCTTGCCTAAACCAATGACTAGAAGGGTTTTTCCAAAGTTATCTTCTAGAATTTTGATAGTTTCAGGTCTTAGATTTAAGTCCTTAATCCATCTTGAGTTGATTTTTGTATAAGGTGAGAGATGAGGATCCAATTTTATTCTCCTGCTTGTGGCTAGCCAATTATCCCAGCACCATTTGTTGAAAAGAGTGTCCTTTCCCCCATTTTACGTTTTTGTTTGCTTTGTCAAAGCTCAGTTGGCTGTAAGTACTTGGGTTTATTTCTGGGTTCTCTATTCTGTTCTGTTGGTCTATGTGCATATTTTTATACCAGTGCCATGCTGTTTTGGTGACTATGGCCTTATAGTATAGTTTGAAATCAGGTAATGTGATGCCTCCAGATTTGCTCTTTTTGCTTAGTCTTGCTTTCATTATGCAGGCTCATTTTTGGTTCCATATTAATTTTAGGATTGTTTTTTCCAATTCTCTGAAGAATGATGATGGTATTTTGATGGGAATTGCATTGAATTTGTAGATTGCTTTTGGCAGTATGGTCATTTTCACAATATTAATTCTACCCATCCATGAGCATGGGATGTGTTTCCATTTGTTTGTGTCATCTATGATTTCTTTCAGTTCAGCAGTGTTTTGTAGTTTTTCTTGTAGCGGTCTTTCCCCTCCCTGATTAGGTATATTCATAAGTATTTTTTTTTGCAGCTATTGTAAAAAGGGTTGAGTTCTTGATTTGATTCTCAGTTTGGTCACCATTGGTGTATAGAAGAGCTACTGATTTGTGTACATTAATTTTGTATCTAGAAATTTTGCTGAATTCTTTTATCAGTTCTAGGAGCTTTCTGGAGCAGTCTTTAGGGTTTTTAGGTAAACAATCATATCATCAGCAAACAGCAACAGTTTGACTTCCACTTTTCTGATCTGGACGCCCTTTATTTCTTTCTCTTGTCTGATTACTCTGGCTAGGACTTCAACTACTATGTTGAAGAGGAGTGGTGAGAGTAGGCATCCTTGCCTTGTTCCAGTTTCCAGAGGGAATGCTCTCAACTATTCCCCATTCAATATTATGTTGGCTCTGGTTTAATCATAAAGCAATGCTGGATTTTGTTGAATGCTTTTTCTGCATCTATTTAGACGATCATGAGATTTTTGTTTTTGATTCTGTTTATGTGGTGTATCACATTTATTGACTTGTGTATGTTAAACCATCTCTCCATCCCTGGTCTGAAACCCACTTGTACATAGTGGATTACGTTTTTGATATGCTGTTGGATTCACTTAGCTAGTATTTTGTTAAAGATTTTAGCATCTGTATTCATCAGGGTTATTTATCTGTAGTTTTCTTTTTTAGTTATGTCCTTTCCTGATTTTCATATTAGAGTGATACTGACTACATAGAATAATTTAGAGAGGGTTCCCTCCTTTTCTGTCTTATGGGATAGTGTCAATAGGATTGGTATAAATTCTTCTTTGAATGTCTGGTAGAATTCTTCTGTGAATCTGTCTGGTCTCAGACTTTTTTTTTTTTGGTAATTTTTATTACGATTTCAATCTTGCTGCTTGTGTTTGGTCTGTTCAGAGTATCTAACTCTTCCTGATTTAATCTAGGAAGGTTGTATCTTTCCAGGAATGTATCTATCTCTCTAGGTTTTCTAGTTTATGTGCATAAAGGTGTTCATAATAGCCTTGAATGATCTTTTCTATTTCTGTGGTGTCAGTTGTAATATCTCCCATTTCATTTCTAATTGAGCTTCTTTGGATTTTCTCTCTTCTTTGCTTGGTTAGTCTTACTAGTGGTCTATCAATTTTATTTATCTTTTCAAGAAACCAGCTTTTTGTTTCATTTATCTTTTGAATTTTTTTGTTGTCATTTTAATTTCATTTAATACTGCTCTGATGTTGGTTATTTTCTTCTGCTAGGTTTGGGTTTGGCTTGTTCATGTTTCTCTAGTTACTTGAAGTGTGACCTTAGTTTGTCTGTTTGTGCTCTTTCAGACTTTTTGATGTAGGCATTTAGGGATATGAACTTTCCTCTTGATACCACCTTTGCTATATCCCAGAGATTTTGATAGGTTTTGTCACTATTGTTCAGTTCGAATAATTTTTTAATTTCCATCGTGATTTCATTTTTGATCCAATGATCATTCAGGAGAAGATTATTTAATTTGCATGTATTTGCATGGTTTGAAGTTTCCTTTTGGAGTTGATGTACAGTTTTATTCCACTGTGGTCTGAGAGAGTGCTTGACATAATTTGACTTTTCTTGAATTTATTGAGGCCCATTTTGTGGCCTATCATATGGTGTATCTTGGAGGAAGTTCCATGTGCTGTTGAATAGAATGTATATTCTGCTGTTTTTGGGTAGAATGTTCTGTAAATATCTGTTAGGTCCTTTTGTTCCAGGGATACTTTAAAGAACAAATTCTTTCTTTGTTACTTTCTGTCTTGATGACCTGTCTAGTGCTGTCAGTGCAGTACTGAAGGCCCCCACTCTTACTGTGTTGCTTTCTGTCTCATTTCTTAGATCTATTAGTAATTGTTTTATTAATTTGGGAGCTGTAGTGTTACATGCATATATATTTAGGTCTGTGATATTTTCCTGTTGGACAAGGCCTTTTGTCATTATATAATGTCCCTCTTTGTCTTTTTTAACTGCTGTTGCTTTAAAGTTTGTTTTGTCTGATGTAAGAATAGCTACCCCTGCTCCTTTTGGTGTCTATTTGCATGGAATATCTTTTTCCATCCCTTTACCTTAAGTTTATGTGAGTCTTTATGTGTTAGGTGTGTCTTTGAAGGCAGAAGATAGTGGTTGGTAGATTCTTATCCATTCTGCAATTCTGTATCTTTTAAGTGGAGCATTTAGGCCGTTTACAATCAATGTTATTATTGAGATGTGAGGTACCATTCCATTCATCATGCTATTTGTTGCCTGTATACCTTGGTTTTTTGTTTTCAAATTGCATTTTTGTTTGATAGGTCCTATGAGATTTATGCTTTAAAAACTTTCTGTTTTGATGTGTTTCCAGGATTTGTTTCAAGATTTAGAGCTCCTTTTAGCAGTTCTTGTAGTGCTGGCTTGGTAGCGGCAAGTTCTCTCAGCATTTGTTTGTCTGAAAAATACTGTATTCTTTCCTTCACTTGTGATGCTTAATTTTGCTGGCTGCAAAATTCTTGGCTGGTAATTTTTTTGTTTGAGGAGGCTGAAGATAAGGCCCCAATCCCTTCTAGCTTGTAGGGTTTCTGCTGAGAAATCCGCTGTTAAACTGATAGGTTTTGCTTTATAGTTTACCTGGTGCTTTTGCCTCATAGCTCTCAAGATTCTTTCCTTCATCTTAACTTTAGATAACTTGATGACAATGTGCCTAGGTGAAGATCTTTTTGTGATAAATTTCCAAGGTGTTCTTTGAGCTTCTTGTATTTGGATGTCTAGTTCTCTAACACAGCTGGGAAAGTTTTCTTCAATTATTCCTCCAAATATATTTTAGAATATTTAGAGATCTCTTCTTTTTCAGGAACACCAATTATTCTTCGGTTTGGTTGCTAAACATAATCCCAGACTTCTTGGACACTTTGTTTATATTTTCTTATTCTTCTTTGTCTTCATTGGATTTGGTTAATTTGAAGACCTTATCGTCAAGCTCTGAATTTCTTTCTTCTACTTGTTCTAGTCTATTGCTGACACTTTCCAGAGCATTTTGCATTGCTAAAAGTGTGTCCATTTATTCCTGAGGTTTTGTTTTTCATTAATGCTATCTATTTCGTTTAATATTTCTCCCTTCACTTCTTGTATCATTTTTTTTTTTTTTTGGATTTCCCTACATTGGGCTTCACCTTTCTCTGGTGCCTTCCTGATTAGTTTAATAAGTAACCTCCTGAATTCTTTTTCAGGTATATCAGGGATTTCTTCTTGGTTTGGGTCCATTGCTAGTGAGCTAGTGTTACTTTTGGGGGTGTTAAAGAACCTTGCTTTGTCATATTACCAGAGTTGTTTTTCTGGTTACTTTTCATTTGGGTAGGCTCTGTCAGAGGGAAGGTCTAGGGCTGAAGTCTATTGTTCAAAGTCTTTTGTCCCACAAGTGTTCCCTTGATGTAGTACTCTCCCCCTTTTCCTATGGATGTGGTTTCCTGAGAGCCAAGCTGTAGTGATTGTTATCTCTCTTCTGGATCTAGCCACTCTCTGAGCTGGTACTGGGGGTTGTCTGCACAGAGTCCTGTGATGTGAACCGCCTGTGGGTCTCTCAGCCATGGATACCAACACCTGTTCTGGTACAGGTGGCAGGGGGATAAAATGGACTCTGTGAAGGTTCTTAGCTTTGGTGGTTTAATGCACTATTTTTGTGCTGGTTGGCCCCCTGCCAGGAGTTGGTGCTTTCCAGAGAGCATCAACTGTAGTATGCGGAGGAACAGGTGGTGTGCAGGACTCTAGAACTCCCAAGCGTATATGCCCTTTGTCTTCAGTTATCAGGGTGGGTAGAGAAAGACCACTGGGTAAGGCCTGGGCTAGGTATGTCTGAGCTCAGATTCTCCTTTGGTGGGTCTTGCTGCGGCTGCTGTGAGAGATGAGGATGAGGTTCCCAGGTTAATGGAGTTATGTTCCTAGGACGATTATGGCTGTCTCTAACTGTGTCATTCAGGGTTGTCAGGGAAGTGAGGGAAAGCCGGCAGTCACAGGCCTCACCCTACTCCCATGCAATTCAAAGGGCCAGTGTCACTCCCACCATGCCCCTACAACAGCACCAGACTGTTTCCAGGCAGTGGGCAAGCAGGGCTGAGAATTTGCCCCAGGCTACCCGCCTCCCAGTTGCAAAAGCAAGTATAGCTTTCCTTCTTTCCCAGCCTTTGGAATCTGCACACCAGACTCATGCCCTCCCCCAAGTTCTGGTCAGGAGACTTCTCGATCAGTTCAAATTGTTACAAAGTTCAGCTGGAGATTTCCTTTTCCTTCTGGCCTTTTCCCAGTGCCTCTGGCTGCCTTCCCAAAGGACCCCTGTGAAGCCAGGCAGAAATGGTTAAATCCCCAAAGATGTCCAGGGACAAATTTCTACCCAGTAGATTAGAAAACTGACAAAAGAGGTATCTAATGAGAGCAAGAAATTCAGAGATGATTCCAGATAAGATAAATTGATATTTAGAGATATTTTTGTAGGGATTAGCAGTATTATTTCCAGTTATTTCTGAAGTCCGGCATTATTGCTACCTTTGGGCCCAGCGAGCATCCTTGTAATACATTCTTTGTTTTCTGAAAATGTTTCTAGTTTGTTTTTGCCGTTTACAATCAACAAAGTGCTCTCTAAGATATCTACCGTTGAGGAGATAAAAATCTAACCAAGAAGACAGAAATTCAATTGTGAACTAAACAATTTGGTTGCTAGTAAGCAATCATTTCATCAGCTTAGCCTGGGGGAGTTAGAAAAGGTTAGACAGAAAAAAGTAGGATTTACTAAATGTTCACAATTAAAGTTTCAGTCAATGAACTAATAACCAAAACAATTATAACATGTGGTCCTTTTACTTAAGGATCTAACAATTTCGTTGTTAGGAAACAGAAATATAATACAATAATTAGAACAAAACATACACTTATGATTACACATGTGATTCAGACTAAGAATTTAGAGAAGGAAGAGGTGGCTATGAGTTAGGATAGTTAGAGAAACCCCATGAAAATCGTGGTCACATATCACCTTGAAGGATGTTCAGAATCCAGTTTATGTATCCACAGCATTTCCTGGGTAATTGCTAATACACCAGAGATAGTCATAAATATTAGTGATATAACAATGAAGGCAAGAATAATAAACAAGACAAGAACCTTGCCCTTGAAAAGGTCTTAGTATACTGGCAAAGATAAGTCCGTAAAAAAATTCAAAAATTAGAAAATAAATGGGTCACATCTCTTGGATAAATCAAAAATGCTTTCCATCAGTATGCAAAGTAATCACAAACTTGCCTCTTTAAAGCAGATTTGAAATTTCTTTTTCTAGTCATAGCTTCTCTCACTTGGCTTTCTGCTATCATGTGAAACTGAAGATGGAAAAAATGGGTTTTCATAAGTCAAATGAATGGTCTATTTCTTTAAAATGTATAGAATTTTTAAAAAGGATTAGAATTAAGTATACTGTTTCTTAGCACATTCTTTTTCATGAATTGTGTAAATAATTTTTAAAAATGCAATATAGAGTATTGGAAATGCTTAAGCAAAGTGTTTAGGTACATATAAATATTTCAAGGCACCCAAGACTGTCTTAACTGAAGGAAAAGAATCTAGGATTTGAAATTAAAAGGCCTGTTGTCCAATTCCGACTTTTCACTTTCTGAATACCTTTAGGCAAATTAAATTCTCTGATGCTCAATGTCTTTATTTATACAATAGAAGTAATAATAGACCTCAAAGACTTGTGGGAATAGATGGAAGCTTGAAACCCAATATTGTTATCTACATATGCTATCCAATAAAAGTAAGGTCCTTTCCCTTTATCAAAAAAAAAATCTAAAATATTTAAAGCCCAAGTAATCTCTTTTAAGAAATTCATATTTCTAGATGAAATTTCTCCTCTGAGATCAGATATGTATCATACTGCCTTTTCCTCATTTCCACTGGCATATCTCAAGAGCCTCACATTCAAGATGTTGTTCATAGTCCTCCTCTACCTGTATAATGGACTGAATGTATTTACTCCCCCACATTCATACCTTGAAGCCCTAACCCTAATGTAATGGCATTCGAAGGTGGGGCCTTTGGGAGATAATTAGGTTTAGATGAGTTCATGAGGGTGGGGCCCCCAATGGGATTAGTGACTTTATAAGTAGAGGAAGAGAGACCAGATCTTTTTCTCTCTCTCCGCCATGTGATGACACAGCAAGGTGGCCGTCTGTAAAACAGGTAGGGAGTCTTCACCAGGACCCAGATCTGTTGTAGCAGCCTGAGCAGACTAAAATAACCTGCAACTTTATTTTCCTCCATTTTTTCCTATCTCAGTTTATGGAACCATCATCTTTGCATCCAAACCAAAGGCAAGGAAACTAGGAGACCTTTCAGGCACTTATCACATCTCAATACTCATGCCTTACCAATCTCAATGTGATGCCAATTTTCCCTGAAAATTCAAATTCCTTCCAAATTTCTCCAAGCCTATCTTCTAGTCCCGCCCCCATTCAGTTTAAGCTACCATCTCACCATTGGCATTCCTGCATTTACCCTGATTTTTACCTATTCTTCACACTATAGCCAGAGTAAACTTTATGTATGTGACAATCTCATTTAATGATTTCTCATTTTGGGGGGATGGGAGGGGGAGAGCTGCAATCCCACAATACCGAGCCTACAGGTAAAACTTACTGTCATGACCTGCACGTCTCTGAAGGGTTTGGCCCCTGCTGACCTTTCCAGCCAACCATGTTACCCTGCTCCTTCTTATGACTTTGCTCCAGCTAAGCTGCCCTTTATCTACTCTTCACACCTCACATACTTCCACCAGGTACAGGTCCTTAGCATATGCTGGCTTTCCTACTTAAATTACATTCACCCACCATTGACTTAACTTCTCATTCCTCAAATCTCATTCTAGTGTCACTTCTTTGGAAAAGCCTCATCTAAATTTCCTAACCAGATGAAATTCTCCTGTTACAGGGTCTTATGCAGGCATATATCTCTCTTTTATAGGATTTTTTGGAATAGCAATTGTACATTTCTTGATGTGAATATTTCAATTTTTATCTACTAATAAGCTGTAAGTGCTATAAAGCTAGAAAAACCTCTGGTTTGATCACCACTTAATTCTCACCTTACACCTAATGTATAGTCTGTCAGTGACATTTGCTGAATAAATTAATACCTTGCCAAACAATCTAAGTCAGTGAAGTTGTGACCTAAATAACTCAATACTGAAATTCCTAACTAATGAACAATTTTCATGTAAACCTATAGCTTAGAAGAAAACATATTTGATTCTATTATGGTGGCAGAGAAGATAATATACATTTAAGACTACAAATGCTTAAATTTATGTTTTAAGGAGAGAATATAAGCAAAAATTGCAATCCATCTTCTCAATATTTTTGCATCAGCATATGTTACTAGAATGTAGGTGATGATCACCCATAATAACTTCTAAGCAAGATTTTTTAAAAAATTATTTGTTAACACTTTTATTCTGATTGGCATAATAAGTAAATGATACAGATTTTTTTAAAGTTATAAGTATGCTTGGTAAGCAAATTGTTATACAAAGCAGAACTTTCAATTAGAAATTAAAGAAAAATAATAGAAAACTTTGTAATTAGAGGTAAAATTGTACTTAACTAATGTAATCTGTTACATACAATTAACAATGAAAAGTTATTTATACAGTAAGTAGAAATATCTGCTTTAAGAATTATGATATACACTGAGTTACACTAGACATTCTACAGAAAATTTTCTATGTATATAATTTTATTTTTTCAACTTTTATTTTAGGTTTGGGGTACACATGAAGGTTTGTTGCATAGATAAACACATTTCAGAGGGTTTTGTTATACATATTATTTCATCACCCAGGTATTAGGCCCAGTACCCAGTAGTTATCTTTTCTGTTCCTCTCCCTCCTCTCACGCTCCCACCTCAGGTAGACCACAGTGTCTATTGTTTCCTTCTTTGTGTTCATAAATTCTCATCATTTAGCTCCCACTTACAAGAACATGCAGTATTTGGTTTTCTGTCCCTGTGTTAGTTTGCTAAGAATAATGGCCTCCAGTTCCATCTATGTTCCCACAAAAGACATTATCTCATTCTTTTGAATGGCTGCATAGTATTCCATCGTGTATATGTACCACATTTTCTTTATCCAATCTGTCATTGATGGGTATTTAGTTTGATTTCATGTCTTTGTTATTGTGAATAGTGCTGAAATGAACAATCATGTGCATGTGTCTTTATGGTAGAATGATTTATATTTCTTTGGGTATGTACCCTGTAATGGGATTGCTGGATTGAATGGTATTTCTGCCTTTAGTCTTTGAGGAATTGCCACATTGTCTTCCACAATTGTTGAACAAATTTACACTCCCACCCACAGTGTATAAGCATTCCCTCTTCTCCATGACCTCCTCATCATCTGTAATTTTTTGACCTTTTAATAATAGCCATTCTGACTGGTTGAGATGGTATCTCATTGTGGTTTTGATTTGCATTTCTTTAATGATCTGTGATATTGAGCTGTTTTTCATATGCTTGATGGCTGCCGTATATCTTCTGGTTTTTTTTTTTTTGTTTTTTTTTTGATGGAGTCTCACTCTGTTGCCCAGGCTGGAGTGCAATGGCACACTCTCGGCTCACTGCAACCTCTGCCTCCCTAGTTCCAGCGATTCTCCTGCCTCAGCCTCCCGAGTAGCTGTGACTACAGGTGTGCTCCACCATGCCTGGTTAATTTTTGTATTTTCAGTAGAGATGGGTTTCACCATGTTGGCCAGGATGATCTTGAACTCCTGACCTAAGGTGATCTGCCTGCCTCAGCCTCCCAAAGTGCTGGGATTACAGGCATGAGCCACTGCACCTGGCCATGTCTTCTTTTGAGAAGCATCTGTTCATGTCCTTTGACCACTTTTTAATGGAGTTATTTGTCTTTCTCTTATAAATTTAAGTTCCTTAAAGAGAAGGCTTAAGAAATATATGTAAGTGCCATTCATCACTCTCATTCATCACTGGTGGGAATGCAAAATGGAACAGCAATTTTGGAGGACAATTTGGCAGTTTCTTACAAAACTAAACATACTCTTGTCATACTCTATGAGCAAAAAATGTGTGTGATGTACAACTTAGATAAAATGAGATGTCTAGAAAGTCATAAACTACTAAAGCTCCCATAAGAAGGAATAGATAACCATCCCATCAGAGAAAACATCAGGCACAGACGTCTTCAGTGAAAAATTCTACTAAATATTTATGGAGGAATAATACCAATCATACAAAAACAATCTCATTCCAAATTTATACAAATACATTACAAGAAGTAAAAACAAGGAACCAATACCTTTCATGAACACAGAAGAAAAAATCCTCACCAAAATATAATACTAGTAAATTGAGTACAGTAATGCATTATAAGATAAATACAAGATTATGTGTGATTTATATTGAGAATATGAGGCTGATTAATCATTCAAAAATAATTAATTTAACTAAAAAGTTCTCCACATCATGTGTCATTAGGGAAATGTGAATTAAAACAAGGAGACAACACTACCCACCTATTAGAGTGGGCAAAGTTTAAAACACCAAATGCTGACAGGGATGTGGAACACAGGAACTCTCATTCATCACTGATGGGAATGCAAAATGGAACAGCAATTTTGGAGGACAATTTGGCAGTTTCTTATAAAACTGAACATACTCTTATCACATGAACCAGCAATCCCACTCCTTGGTATTTATGCAAAGAAGTTGAAGACTCATGTCCACACAAAAACCTGCACATGGATGTTTATAGCAGCTTAAAAAAATGAATCAGCAAAACTTGGAGGCAACCAAGATATCCTTTAGAGGTGAAGAGATAAATAAACTGTGGTACATTCAGACAATGAAATATTATTCAGCATTAAAAAAAAGAGCTATCAAGCCATGAAGAGACATAGAAGAACCGTATGTGTATTACTAAGTGAAATAGGCCAGCCTGAAAAATCTAGATTCTGTATGATTCCAACTAGGTGACATTCTGGAGAGGGCAAAACCATGGAGACAGCAAAAATATCAGTAGTTGCCAGATGTTTGGTGAGGGTGGAGTGAGGGATAAATAGGCAGAGCACGGAGATTTGGGGGCAGTAAAACTACTCTGAATGATACTATTATAGTGGGTATATGTCATTACATACTTGTCCAAATTCGTAGAATGTACAACACCAAGGGTGAATCCTAATGTAAACTATGGACTCTGAGTGATAATAATATGTCAGTGCAGGGATAACTGATTGTCAGAAATGTACTACCTGGGTGCAGGATGTTAATGGGGGAGGCTATGCATGTATTGAGCTAGGGAATATATAGGGAATCTCTGTATCTTCCACTCAATTTTGCTGCTAAACTAAAGCTGCTCTAAAAATAGTCTATTAAAAATAATTCATTCAGTTAACCATATCAACACTCTAAAAACAATCATATGATTATTTCAGTAGATACAGAAAAGGCATTTGACAAAAATACACATCTATCCATGACAAAAACTCCCAGCAAACTAGAAATAACAGGTAAAGTGCATCTAAAAGAAACAAATATATAGCTAACAGAATATTTCCATCCATACTCCCTTGGCAAGATCAGCTCGATTCTATGTAAAATATTGCCAATATAACTACTCTGAACTTTTAAAATTAATTCTGGAAGCTGAGCTGCCTCACTGGGCTTTTTGTGCTATTTTTCCAGATACAAATCATTGATTCATTGTGGCTCAGTTTACCAAAGTTGCATGGGTTTTGAGTGATATATATATTCCATTCTTATTTTTTCCATTAGTCCTGTTTATTTTTAGTGTTCAATTTTGAGGTTTTTTGCCAATACTACTACCATGTTACATTAGATACACCTCTAGTTACATAGATCTTCACTGTGCAATATGATAGCACTAGGCATATGTAGCTTTTGAGCTTTTGAAATGTGACTAGTACAAAATGCATTTTCCTGGAAGGATAAAATTACGTTATATTTCAAAGACGCAATATGAAAAAATGTAAAATGTCTCATTAATAATTTCTTATTGATTACATGTTGAAATGGTGATATTTTGAATATAATGGGTAAATAAAACTATTGTTAAATTTAATTTTATGTGTTTCTCTTTTCTTAATGTGGCTACCAGAAAATAGAAAATTTAAGTGTATATATCTACTGGACAGCTCGGATATCAATTGTCACTTTGTTCTCAGGAGCAATAATTCCTTTTCTGCATTTCTGCAATGTAAATGTTCTAGAAAGAACTTTAAAAAAATTTGACGCAAAGTCATTTGTTGGTAAAATATGACCTGAAGTGATGTTAAGCTATTTATAGAGCTGATGATGAATTTGCTTGGTATGAAAATAAAAATGTCAAGGTTGTCTGTAAAACTCCAAATGCTGCATCACTTCAGCCCCTTGACCAGGGCATCATTTCATTTGTCAAGGCCGCATACTCACCTGGTATTTGATCACATTCTATCAGCATTAATTCAGACCTTAATCTGGACATAATGTGGTGCTGGAAATCATTCACTATTGCTAATGCAATAACTTTCATCAAACTGCCAGGGATGAAATAAAACCTAAAGGCTTGCCGGATTAACTTATGGAATGAGATCATACATGATTTTAAAGTCTTGGTTGGGGGGATGTTGGAGGGACAGACAATGGGAAAAGTTAGAAAAATTATTCATGCAGCAAGACAAGTTGGTGAAGAAAAATGTTCTGATATGTTTGATGACGATGTGAAAGAACATATTAAAGTCCATTGAGAAGTGTTAACAAATGAGAAATTGGAAGAACTTGTTGAGCCATCTACAAGAGGAAGAAGAAACTGAAGCTGAATCAGAAATGTAGACATTACCTAAATTTGCCAAAGGTTTTCAAACTGCACAGACCTTAAAGGACAAAATTGTGAAATATGATCCTCAGAGGGAATGCAGCATTCAAATTAATGGTGTGATCACCTGAGAAGTAAAGTCTCTGAAGCAACACTTTGAGTAGTTAAAAAGAGACAACTTCTATTACAAGGTTCTAACAAAACATTTCACCAAAAAGACCTTCAACTCTCAAGGATCCCTAACCATTGACAACATTTACTCCTGACATCCAACCATTGATATCATTATGGCTGGATAATCCAGGATCACCTAAAGCAGAGGGTCCTTCTCTCTGACATATCATAAGGAGGTCAGTGGTAGTCTAATGCTATGTCACAATGTCTACATCATTCACTTCACTTCTACTCATCAGTTAGGCATTTTGTTAATGCACATCACATAATTCAAAGAGGAAGAAAGGTGAATATAGTGCAATATGATATTTTCAGAGAGAGAAATAGAGTGAGAGACCACATTCACACAATTTTTTTACAGTACATTGTTATTATTGTTTTATTTTATTTTGTTATTGTTATTCATCTCTTACTGCTAATTTGTAAACTAAACATTATTAAATGTATGTATGTATAGGAAAAACCATACTATATGTAAGATTTGGTACCGTCCATGGTTTTAGACATCGACTGGGGGTCTCAAGGCAAATCCACCCTAGAAAAGGATGGACTATGGTATATTGTTTCACTTTTTCATTGTCTCATCAGTCCCCTAGTATTTCTCCACTTTTTCGTTCTTATTTTTGTTCTGCTGAATAGAAATTTCTGTCTTCAAGTTCACTGATTCCTTCTGCCTAACTGAATCTGCTACCAAAGCTTTTTATTGATTTTTTTTTTCATTTCGTTCATTGTATTCTTATGGGACAGAATTTCTCTTTGTTATTTTTTTAACGCTTTGTATCTCTTTGTTGAATTTCAAATTTTGTTCATTGTTTTTCTTATATCCTTTATTTGATTTGATCTCTCATAGCTCACTCAGCTTCTTCAAGATGATTATTTTGAATTCTTTGTGAGGCAATTCATAGATTTTCATCCTTTAGGTTCAGGCACTGGAGCTTTATTTTGTTCCTTTGGTGATGTTATGTGTCTTTGATCCTTCATGTTCTTTCTTCACATTTGAACAAGCAGTCCCCTCCTCTAGTCTTTACTGACTGTCTTTGGGAGAAAAATTTCTTCGCTAATCAGCCCAGTTTAAAGATTCTAAGAGTCTCTCCAAGGCCTTATTTATGGATGTGACTTCCTCGTGGCTCCTTTTCTCTCTTGAGAGAAATGCTTTAGGAATTTTGTGCCTTCTCTCAATCCTGCAAAGTCAGGCCTGGTGCTCATAGCCTCTTGTTTATTTTCCCTAGGGCGGTCCCCTAAAGTGTTCAAGACTGTGTACCTTCTCCCAATCATTCAGAGTCAAGCTAGTTGCTGTCTTTGTGCTGTCTGCAAGGGCCCATGTACTAGTCTATCCACAGAGCCTCACCTGTGCTGTCTCAGGAGTGTGTTCAGAATGCTGTATGTGTATCTACCAGTTGGTGGGGCGTGCAGGTCAGACATCCAGTGAAGTTTGTGGGCGAGCTTCTTGGTGGGGTTCCCAATTCAGTTAGTAGGATCTGCAGCCAGTTTTTTAAATCCGCACGGTGGTTGCTGTAACCTACTGACCCTTTTTTCTTCTCTAGCTCCCTAAAAGCTATTCGGCCATGAAGATCCCTTCAGTAATCTGGGTCTCTTGGGCAACATATGTGAGGCTGGGGAAACTAGGTGCTCACTGCAGTCTCACTTTACCCTATGGAAGAAATCACAGCCTGAGGGGTTCTGTCTTGGCACTTAGCTGTGTCACCTCTGGGGAGGAATGATGCAGGTAAAGTGAAACTGTTTTTTTTAATCATCTTTGATACATCTATTATTAGATTTTCTGCTTGATTGGGGTGCTAGAATTGTCTTACCAAAATCCCCAGTTTCCACAGAGATATTTTCATGAGCGGTTGTTTATCAAAATTGATGTTTCAGTAAAGGTATGAGGGCTGTAATCTCCTATTTCACCATCTTGCTGATGTCCAACTACTGAGATAAATTTTACAATATTTTTATCACCTTAAAAAGAAATCTCATACTCTTTTGCTATCACTCCTTCCTCCCCATTCCCTCAAAGCCATAAGCACTCACAAATCTACTTTCTGTCTCTATGTAATTCTCTATTCTTGACTTTTGTAAGTATGGAATCATATGGTATGTGGTGTTTTTTGACTGGCTTCTTTCATTTCATAATGCTTTCAGGAGATATGGCCTTTTAAAGCCTTCTTTCAATGTCATCTGGAGCATTAACAATGGTATCTATCCAAGCAGCTTCTAATTGTTTCAACTGCCCTCAATCTGTAGAACATTGTTTGAGGCCAACAGTTAACAGGTCAGTTTCACCATATCACCTAGATTTTTTCCCACAAAATTAGCATCATTCTCACAATTATCTTCCTGCTTCACTATATTAAAACCTATTTCAGCAATATTCCCATCTCATAATTTTCCCTTGAAGAAATGCCTAACAGCCAAATCATCATTAATGTTCATCATTTCTTCAATGTTAGCTTTTTCTGGTGTTATTGTACTTTCACTGATGCACATTTGGTGAACAAATAAGGTTTACTGTTATTGCCTTGTTAGTGTCAGGAAATCCATTAAAGTCTTCAACTTTATGCTTTGAGGCCTCTGCAATAGTCTGTTTTCTGCCCTTTAGATCTTGACAGATGCTTTCTTTTTTCTTTAACTGTTGCTGACAGGGGCATCTTTAGCTTTCTCAAACCTTTCATGGTATAGTTAATTATAAAACAAGCTTGTCCTACCCGCGGCCTGTGGGCCACATGCAGCCCATGATGGCTTTCAGCCCAACACAAATTCATACTTTCTTAAAAATTATGAGACTTTGTTGCAATTTTCTTTTTTTAGCTCATTAGCTATCATTAGTGTTAGTGTATTTTATGTATGGCTCAAAACAATTCTTTTTCTTCCAACATGGCCCAGGGAAGCCAAAAGATTGGACACCCTGTTATAAAACCATAAAATAAGAAGCAAACAGTAAACCATTAGTTAGTTGCAGCATCAACTGTCACTAAGAGAAAGCTGAGAAACAACATGTGCCTCACGTCGGGTCAGGTTCTGCCACTAAAATAGCTTTGGCTTCAAGCTTATCAAAAAATGTAGTTTTTAGAGATTTTTAGATAATTATAGATAAAGATATAGTAGATCTGAATATTATGTATACTAAGTTGTCTTTCTAAAAGTATAAGTAATTATGTATTCCAAAATGCATCTATCCCTATAAGATTCAAATAATGAACTGGTTTGGTGTTATGTTCTATAAATGTCAGGTTAAACTGTTGATAGATTTTATAATCTTTCATATCCATACTAACATATCTTTAATGACTGTTTTTATCAATTGCTAGAAAAGTGTATTATAATCTTCAACTATGTTTGCATATTTATCTATTCTTAGGTGGATGTATTTAGAATTTTTATGTCTTCTTGATTAATTGGAGTTGTTATCATTATGAAATGACCCTCCTTATTTCAGGTAAATCTCCTTGTTTGAAGTCTATTGTGTCTAATAAGGACATAGCTTACATAAGCTTTATTATGTTTTATGTTTGCCCAGTATATCTTGTGGTGATATATCATCCACCTGTTTGTATCTTAATGTATAAAGAGCCTCCTGTAAATAGCAATCAACCCTATCTCTGCCTTTTGATTACACTTGTTTGCCTATTTATCTTTTTGCTACTTGTTTTTCTCTTTTCAAATAACTTAATATTTTAGTATTATATTCTATCTCCCACATTATTATTTTCAATATTACTTTATTGTGTTTAAGTAAATTTCTTTAGGGGTTTCAATATAAATCTTTAATATAACACATTCTACTTCAAATTAACATGATACTACTTCACATATAATGTAATAAATTTACAAAAATATAATTCCATTTAAGCCTCTTCCTATCATTTGTGCTGTTGTTATTATTTATTTTTCTTTTACATGTGTTATAAACCCCATACACATTGCTATAAATTTTCTTTAACCAGTGAATTGCCTTTTAAGGAATTTAAGAAAAGAAGGAAAAATGATCCTTTATATTTACCCATTTATTTACAATTTCTAGATTTTTTTTCTTTTTTTTTTTTTTTTTCAGAGTCTCCCTCTTGTAGCCCAGGCTGGGAGTGCAGTGGCGCTATCTTGGCTCACCACAATCTCTGCCTCCCGGGTTCAAATGATTCTCCTGCCTCAGTCTCCTCAGTAACTGGGATTACAGGTACCCGCCACCACACCCAGCTAATTTTTGTACCATTAATAGAGAAGGGGTTTTGCCATGTTGGCCAGGCTGCTCTCAAACTCCTGACCTCAGGTGATCCGCCTGCCTCAGACTCCCAAAGTGCTGGGAAGAGCCACTGTGTCCGGCCTAGGGTTCTGAGTTCCTGGAAGTCTGAGTTTTCACCTGGTGTAACTTCCTTTCAGCCTATATGACTTCCTCTGCTGGTAACAAAATCTCCCAACCTTGTTTATATAAAATAATGTTTATTTTACTTCTATTTTTCCAAGATATTTTAATGTCGTATAGAATTCTAGGTTGACAGATGTTTTCTTTTTTATTAGGCACTGGAAGGTGTCACTTGTTTTTCAATATCTACTTTTATGATGCAACGTCAGTTGCCATTATATTATTGTTCTCTTTTATGCAATATGTTTTTACTCTAGCTGTTTTTATGATTTTTTTTAACTTCTGGATTTCAACAATTTGGCTGATGGGCCTAGGTAGTTTTCTTCATATGTACCCTATCTATGGTTGGCTAAGCTCCTTCCATTTATGGATTGGTATCTGTAATCAAAATTGGAAAATTTTTACCTAATATCTTTCAGATATTTTTCTGTCTCATTCTCTCTTCTCTTCTTCTGAGCCTCCAATTACATGTATGTTAAATTGCTTGTCATGTTTCCTCAGGTCATTGAGGCTCTTTATACTTTTTTCAAAACTTTTTCCTCTCAGTGCTTCAATGTGGTGAAATCAATCGACAAGTCTTAAAGATCACTGATCCCTTTTTCTATTGTGTCCAATATGCTATAAAAATTACCCAATAAAATTTTCATTTTAAATATTTTATTTTTTAGTCCTATGATTTCCATTTAGTTATTTTTCACAGTTTTGAAAGATCTTGAAATGACCCATCTCATCAACTACTGTATCTATTTTGTCTTTTAGAATCTTTAAAAATATTTATCATTATTTTTAGTGACTACACATTACTTTGGATAACTACCAGATCTTTGACCGCAGGGAGGGTAACTGATTGGTGGTCCTGCCTGTTAAACTCTAAAACCCATCACCTCGTTCACATTGAGTTCACAGGTTCTATGGGCTGTTCCTCCTCATGAAAATAAGAGGAGAAGACCGACCAAACTTGGCTTATATATGAGCTAGCTTGATGCATGGTTGCAAAGCTAAAATCAACAGCAGCTGTACCATAGCCACATACAAGAGTATACACGAGTATACATGAAAGACACTGGTGAGAGGAAATTTTCCCAATGGGCACAGGTGTAAGTATGCACTATTCATCCTATTTGGTTGAATGAGAAGTGACCTGATGTGAGAATTTGTTTATCGTTCCTGGTTAAGACCTAGAAAAGAACTAAAAAATCGGAGGGTTATTTAGATGAACAATGTCATTCGAATAATCATGAAAAGTGAAGATTTTTGTATAACATATTAATGCTCAACAGGAAGCATCTACCACTAAAGAAGTACTGATCATATAGATCAGTTCACTTAAACTAGCCTTTATCATTGGCCATCAAAACTGACATGATAGCAACATGATTGGAGTCCCATGGTGGCAGATACAGAGGTTATCATCAGCCCAACACCACTGACTCCTGCTTACCAAGGTCTATCTAGTTACATCTGTTATTGTCGACCATGTCAGCAACAAAGACCAATACTGCACATCACATATTGCACAATTCCTCAAGGACATCAACTGGCCACCTAATAACTCAACTACATCAAGTCCCTTCTTTACTGAAGAACCAGAAGTTTATCCTCAGAAGGGCGGCTGCCAATTTCAGGTATGAGGTGTTCTTTCCTGCCCATGAAGCTTTATCCAGTCTATGCAGGGACTTATAGATATTCACACAGCATGACCAGGGGACTCATTTCACAGTAAAAGAAGTATGGGAATGGATATATGACCACTGGATTTGCTGATCATAACACATACCATGTACAGAATTGGTGGGTTCTTGGTCTCACTGACTTCAAGAATCAAGCCACGGACCCTCACGGTGAGTGTTACAGTTCTTAAAGGTGGTGTGTCCAGAATTTGTTCCTTCTGATGTTTGGACGTGTTCGGAGTTTCTTTCTTCTGGTGGGTTCGCAGTTTCGCTGGTTTCAGGAGTGAAGCTGCAGACCTTCGTGGTGAGTGTTACAGCTCTTAAGGCCGCACGTCTGCAGTTGTTCGTTCCTCCTCTCTGGAGTTGTTCATTCCTCCCGGTGGGTTCATGGTCTCACCCGCCTCAAGAGTGAAGCTGCAGACCTTCACTGTGAGTGTTACAGCTCATAAAAGCAGTGTGAACCTACAGAGTGAGCACCAGCAAGATTTATTGCAATGAGCAAAAGAACAAAGCCCCCACGGTCAGGAAGGGGACCTGGGTTGCCACTGCTAGCTTGGGCAGCCTGCTTTTATTCCCTTATCTGGCCCCACCCATATCCTGCTGATTGGTCCATTTTACAGAGAGCTGATTGGCCCATTTTACAGATACCTGATTGGTCGGTTTTGACGGGGTGCTGATTGGTGCATTTACAATCCTTTAGCTAGACAGAAAAATTCTCCAAGTCCCCACTAGATTAGCTAGACACAGAGTGTTGATTGGTGCATATACAATCCTCCAGCTAGACATAAACGTTCTCCAAGTCCCCACTAGACTCAGGAACCCAGCTGGATTAGCCTAGTGGATGCCAGGCCAGGGCCACCGGGTGGAGCTGCCCGCCAGTTCCACGCGGAGTGCCTGCACTTTTCAGCCCTTGGGCGGTGGATGGGACCCAGCGCTGCGGAGCAGAGGGTTGCACTCTGTCGGGGAGGCTCACGCCGGGCAGGAGCCCACGGTTGTGGGGAGGCTCGGGCATGGCGGGCTGCAGGTCCTGAGCCCTGCCAGGCAGGGAGGCAGCTGAGGCCCCGGCGCCCAGGGGCACTGCTGGGGGAACTGGCGCACCCTCTGCAGTTGCTGACCCGGGTGCTAAGCCCGTCACTGCCCGGGGCCTGAGGCTCCGGCCGGCCACTCCCAGTGCGCCGCATGCCTAGCCCACACCCACCCGGAGCTTGCGCTGGCCCGCGAGCGCCGCATGCAGCCCCAGGTCCCGCAAGTGCCTCTCCCTCCACACCTCCCGGCAAGCAGAGGGAGCCGGCTTTGGCCTCCGCCCACCCAGAGAGGGGCTCCCACAGTGCAGAGGCGGGCTGAAGGGCTCCTCAAGTGTGGCCAGAGCGGGCGCGGAGGCTGAGGAGGCACGAGAGTGAGCGAGGGCTGCCAGCAGGCTGTCACTTCTCAATACGGCACCATTTAGATCTATCTAGCATGTTGGAATGGCTTTCTAAAGGCACAGCTGAAGCACCAGCTCAATGGCAGTAATATGAAAGGATGGGTGTCACCCTTCGGAATGTATTAAATCAGAGACCTTTGCATGATACAGTGTCCCTAAGATAATAACACATGACTTCAAGGACCAACAGATGAATGCAAGAGTAATTCTTTTGACCACCGCTTTCAATGTTTCATTGGGTAATTCGTACTTCCTATCCTGACCATTATGGGCTCTGCAAAATTAGCTGGGTCTCCAAAGTAAGGGTACTCTTGCCAAGAAATACAGGAATGATCCTATTGAACTACAAGTCAGGCTAATCTTCCTCTTCTAAACTTATCTTCAAAAAAGTGATACGTTGGAATCATGGCTGAACTGCTTCCCAAATCCATGTAGAGAGTAACTCTCTGTCGTGAAAGAGTGGACAGTGACAGCCATGAGATCATATTGCCCAGCTCTCCAAGTGTGGAGAGCACAATATACCCCCACACGCTGCTCCCAGCCTAGGAATTAGCACGATAGTAATGCTGAGGGAGACTTCTTTTGGAATATGCGGGACTCCTTTGATGGGCAAATTTGGCCTGAACACTGCATAAGCCTTCTTTAGGACTACAGTTCAGTATAATATGCTACCACCTAAGCTTTCTTCTCTCTCTGCTTCACTCAAGGTCAGGCCTGCATCACAGTCCAATGGCACCTGCCCCCCCACCCCCAGCTTTTCACAACTCTGTTCCATTAATTTATTACAATAATTAACCTTAATAAATTCCTTGCACATATTAATGTATCTTGGCAAGTGCTCTTGCAGGACCTGGATTAACATATTATTTTACAGTTTTGTATACTAATTCCCGTATCTGGGTAACTTGTGAATTTCTTAAATTGATTTTTACACTAATGCTACATCGTAATTTCTGTTTATTTGTGTATCTAGTAAATGCTTCATATTATGATGGACATTGTTAATAAGTTGTAAATATTTTGGGTTCTGGTATTTTCTTCTAGGGAATGTTGAATTTTGTTAAGCAGGCTGTTAAATGACTGGTGGTTTGCCTTGAACTTTTAAAGGTATGGTTTTATTTTCTGTTAGGACAAGTCATTTTTAGATTTGCCCTTTGTCTTGTGATAAATTCCTTAGTACTGAGAAACCATGTTGAAATATGTCCTTTCTTCGGTGTGAGTGGAAAACGAAGTGTTTCCTGGGTCTTTTAAATTTGGCAAGACTTGAGCTCAAAACTGTCACCTCTGTACCGGAAAGTAGCTAAATTCTCTGCTTATCTCCGGCAACCTTACAACCGTTGCTTTTTACTGGGCAAGTTAGGGGTTTTTTCTGTACAAGCACAGTTTAGGGTTAGCAAACGATTTGAGTAGACTTTATGTGTAGATTTTGGAGCTTCTCTTACATGGTTCTCTTTTTTTCTTTCCCAGGATTGGGCCTTTCAAAAAAAAATTTATTTTTTCTTTGAGACAGGGTCTCACTCTGGTTGTCCAGGCTGGAGTGCAATGGTGAGATCTCGGCTCACTACACCCTCAACCTCCTGGGCTCAGGCAATTCTCCCACCTAAGCTTCCTGAGTAGCTGGGACTGCAGGTGGGCACTACAACGCCTGGCTAATATATATATATATATTTTTTTTCCTGTAAAGACGGGGTTCTGCCCATGTTAGCCAGGCTGGTCTCTAGCTCCTGGACTCAAGCGATCCTTAGGACTCAGCCTCCCAAAGTGCTGGGATTACAAGCGTGAGTTACCGCGTCTGGCCTCAATTTTTAGTCGTTTAGAAAGCCCTGAACTTTATACTCTGTGTATTCAGGTTAATAATATGTAATTTTCTGCTTGAATTTTATCTTCCGGTGCTGGTGAAAGTACTTGGGTGAAAATCTCTCTCATTATGTCTCCCTTTTTTCAAAGCATAGATCCTCCTTATTTATTTTCTTAACCTGGTTTTGTTTGCTTTCCAGTTTTCAAACAGCTGTTTTTTTATGTTATTAATATTTCCAGAATTGAGTGTGTTATTTATGGTAGAGTTAGTTCAATAACAACAGTTCTGCAAATACTATTATAAAACCCAGAACTCACAATCAGCTTTTAAACATCTCCATCCTAGGGCAATGCTTCTTTTTAAAAAGTTTTTCAAAAATTGTATTACTATCTTATAAAACAGTATTCTTTGGCACATACTAGGTGCTCAATAAATATTTATAAATTAATCAATATGACTGGTTATTTAAGGCTTATGAAACAATTCTATTTAAAAATCTCAAACATGAAAGAGAGATTAAAGCAAAACCAAAAAAGAGCCAGTAGAAACAGTGCAGGTTACTAAAAATGAAGCAAAAAATTATATCTATGAAATAAAATCTATAAAAATGGAGCCAGCATGAAATGAGAAAATAGTAAGAAAGAACTGGAAATTTAAAATAGTATAGGTAAAATTGTTTCATCATTATTATAGGAGAATAAATCAAAGAGAATCTAAAATTGGAATAGAAGAAAGATTTATAAATTAGAAAACAAAGATAATAAATTTAAATGATAAATTCAGGATGCCTAACAGCTTACTAATTAACATGATGAAGAACAATGAAAGTTATAGAGAGGACAGAGAAAATAATAAATTAACAAATATAAAAGTAAAAGAATTTTGCCTAAAGTTAAATGCCACAAGACATTTGGTGAGCTATCTGATGCCTAGAACAATAAATGGTGGGGGAAAATGACATAAGTAAAGGCAAATCATGGGAAAATTTAGAATACAAGCATTAAAGAAAAATTCTAAAATATTCTAGAGATAAAAATAGGTCATGTACGTAAAATCAATAGTCTAAATAGCAATAGATAACTTATCAGCAAATTTAAAGTTTACGGTATAACAATAGAGAAATTATTTCAAAATTCTGAGTGAAGTTATATTTAACCTAGAATTCTATAATCCAAAATCAATCAAGTAGCAACTTAGAGTAAAGCAAACTGCAGATATGCAAATACAAATTTTTGTTTTGTATGTGTCCTTTGTTGGAAATCTATTCGACAGTGTGACTCATAAAATGAAGATATAAAATTTGAGATTTAGAAAGGACGGAATCTATCTCACAGGCAAAGTGAGTAACTGTATGACAGCAGTTGAGTAACCCTAAAAAGTAACCAGTCCATATTAAAACCAAAGAAAAGACCCTGAAAATAATGACATCAAGAAAAGAAGTGAAATTGAAAAGATAGAATACATGAAAAATAGGCAGGTGGCAGAATTTTTGAGAACAAACATGTTAATAATGGGTACATTTTAAAAGTTCAGTAAAAAATGAGATGATAAACTCTAGGGGAAAAATAATAAAGTTGCCCAAAAAGGAGGCATAAACATAATGCATTGCTTCATTTAAAGGTAGGAAAAGGGAGGAGAGCTTAGTTCTGAGTTACCAAGATTAGAAATAAGAAGAGATTGCCTGAAGTACTTTTGCCAAGAAATACCAATATAAAGATTATTTAGGAAAATGTCTGTAAATAAAAGTAAAATTAGCCATTTGAATAAAAAGATGGAATGCCAGAAAATAGTATTATGGATGAAGGAGAAAAGTGAAAGAGATTTGCTACTTTCACATTATATAATCTTTAGTAATATTTGATTTTTCAAAAGTATTACTTTGTTAAAAAATAAAATAACAAAACAAAATAATATATTAAATGAATAAATTGAAGTAAAATAAATATCAGAAAATTTTTAAAGGGTTGGAGAAAAGAAATAAATACCAAAATATTGAAGACGGAAAGAACATTTTGAAAGGCAAAGAAGAGATGAGCCTGGTCGGGAATGTGGATTTTTACCATGAAATAGTGAAACAGTATTGGATAAGCTATAGGTACTTTCCTTCCCAGGATAAACTTTATCGTGGGATAAAGGATAAATTGTAGCTTGTGGGAAGTTACTAATCATTTCTAATCAGAGAAACAGTTCGGTGAATTTAATGGGACATCACTGTTAAATAAGAATGTACTGTAGGCAATTAGGTGGAAGGTCATGAATGTAAAGATGAGATTTGGGTTTGGAAAGGAAGACACAAATCTCAAAATCTGAGAGTATAACCATCAGACTTAGGATTTGCATGACTTGTTTACTATTGAAGATTAAAGAACACGAGAGCCAAGGATGATTCACAGATTTCAGTCTGAAATAAAAATACACACACATAGGCATCTATCATAACTTCATACCAAAAAAGCAGCTGGTTTGGGGGACAGCAGGTTTAGGTTTAGCAGGTTTGCATTTTCAGAGTTTGGCATAAGATAACAGAACCATTCCAAGTAGCATTTGTTTGAGCAGCTACATGTGTACTTACATAAAGCAATGAAGTGGCTTTTAATACAACAACTGCACTGAAAATTAGATTTAAAATAGTGAAAATGTAGCGAATAAATTCAGTTTTCTCTGCCTCTAACTTTCCCCGTCTTTATGTTACTAGTATAAAGTCTTTTTTATTCTCCCATTAAAAATATGGAGACAAGTTCTACACAAATATTAAAGTACCCACTTGAAAGAAAAGAGCATCCTAAAACATCATTTTCTCGAAAAAAGAAATAGTCTACTTTTACACCTGTCAAAAATGATCTAAATTTAGTCATGAAGTGAATTTGTAAACATAAGATACTCCTCAATGGAAGATCTAATGCTCCCTAACTATCATGGGCCCATCAAGCACTGCAGTTGTACATAAACCTGGAAGTATCAGAACACAGAAAAGATCTATTTCCTTTATTTTTTTTCAAAGTGAGATAAGTGTATCTAATTGTTTCTGAGGAGATCAGGAGCACAGTGAAATCTGATATGCCTTTTTTTATTCAGACGAATGAATCTACTTAGATTCCAAGAGGGTGCTCTAAAATGTAATGGTGAAGCATGTAGCTAGGCAACACTGGCTGTTTGTCCTCTCAGAGTGAAGGCACTTCTGGAAAGTGAATGATCCATGACAGCAAATGAAAGTATAAAAAACACATCAAGCAAGTGGAAAACACATTTTTTAAAAAATAACTGCCTGAGAGAATGCTGAGGATGGAAGTAACATGTAACATTGAAATCAGACTTGCTGAAGGGCCAGAATAAAATTGCCCTGCATCCCTAGGTTCCTTGAATATATACAATTCTCAAAGGAAAACAAAAACAACAGCTATGTAAGGGAACTCAGTAGTGTTAGGAGTCGATGTACCAACAAACAAATAAAAGGGAATTTTGAAAGAAAAGGAAAAGGCAATAAACAAAATATAAAAAAGGATTTTCCATTGGCAGCTAAAGCATTTCACAGAGCATCCACGATTTTCATTAAATGACTGTTGTCTGCTAGATCCTACATCATTTTTAAGTGCACTATTACTGCTAAGATTGTATTTTTTTTCTTCTGTTCAAAATGACATTTCTGGTCTTGTTACCATCTGTGAGTGTATACGGCTCAAACAAAGAAGTCTTATGTTAAAGAATTAAACTTGTAGCACTCATTATTTCCTAGACTTCAATACTAACAAGGAATGCAATAAAACATTGTTCTGACATTTATAAAATTACAAATGGCAAAATGTAAAAGAAGTGGTAAGAGTAGTAAAACAGTAGACATAATTTCCTAGAAAGAAGCATATATATATATATATTTTTATGTTGAGTTTATTGTCTAAAACAAAGTTCTTTGTTTAACTGATAATAACTAAGGTGATGGATAATGCTATGGGAATAAAATTCAAATTATAAAGTGTGATTTAAATACAAGGTAATGATATCTACCAGCCTGTAAGTAACTTGGTTTGGAAAAGTAGCCTATGTTTTTCTGAACTATATAATAAATATTTAATCAATTTTAAGTGCTAAAATATATAGAGAGGGCTATTGAGCCTATTTTGAAGGGGTTTTCTGCAAATCGTCACACAGAAGAGGGACCAGCTCCTAGTATGTATATCAAAAAGAACCAAGTGTGTCACTTGAAATGCCCAGTTCTTTTTTGTTGAACTACGCTAAAAGCAAACTGTCAGTTGAAATGCTGTTGTTCAGAATGCTAACATCTAAATCTGTCAAATCATGTAATATGCAGGACAGAAAGGAGAAAGTCTGAATTTAACATAGTCAGTGTCAGAAGCATGGAAGATCAGAATCAGGAGGGCCAAAGGAAAACATTCAGGATAAAGCACTGATTCTGAATACCATTGAAAGTTTTGGCGATACAAGACCAAGGCTTGGATGTGCAAAAAGAAGCTACCAAAGGCATTAAAACAAGAGTGCTTTGTAGGTTGATTTACAAAGGAACTCACACTTGTTTTGCTGCTTTGGGGACTGTGGAATGGAAGGGAGAGCGTGTAGAAATGGGAAGAAAAGAGGCTGTTGCAGTAATCCAGATGAAATGGATAATGGTCCTTCCATTCCACTGGGTATTCATTCTCATCTTCTTTTCCTAGTGCCTCCTCTTTACTCTGCCTTGCCTCTTAATTTTAGAGGATCTTATGGTCAGAACCCTTCTCTTTTTTATCTCTACACACTGTTTTGGTGAGCTTGTCAAGTTCTCAGGCTTTAACGATAAAATATTTTCTAGTAATTCCCAAAGGTATACCTCCAACTCGACCTTTCATCCAAAGTACAGGCTCATATATATCCAAATGCCTACCTGATATTTTTGCCTGGAAATGTAACAAATGCCTCAAACTCAAAATGTTTAAATAAACTCCTGGACTCTTTTTCACATGATTTCAACTTACATCTCAATAGATGGTAACTCCAAATGTTCAGCTGCTCAGGTGAAACTGTGGAACCATTTTGATTCTTCTCTTTTTTTCCTCAACCCATATTGAATTTATCAGAAAATACCGTTGGTTCTACTTTAAAATATATCCAAAATACAAACATTTTTCACAACACTCACTGTTAACACTTTATTCTGAGACACAATCATCTTCACCTAGATTACTGCAATACTTTCTTAACATGTCTCTCTGCTGTAGCCTTCTATAGCCTATTTTCAACTTAGCAACTAGAGTGGTACTTTTAAATATATATTATAGCATGTCACTATTCTGCTTAAAGCCTTCTAATAGCTGTCTAATTTAATGCAAGTCAAAGCAGAAGCTTTTTCAGTTGTTCGCAAGATCCTCCTGTGTAATCTGATCTTCCACTGAGCTGTGTACATATTGAGATCAAATGCCACAAAGTTCCAACCCCTGGTGAATGTAGGTCAGGTCAACTTTAATGTTGGTTAGTTTTAGTTATCTGATGCTACATAATAAATTATGCCAAAACTTAGCAGATTTAAACAACAATTTATTATCTTACAGTTTCTGTGGGTTAGAGATCTGGAGGCTGATTAGCTGGAACATTCTGGCTGAAAGTCTTTCCTGAGGTTGCTGTTAAACTGTCAAGTATGGCTACAGTCTCATCTGAAGAGCCAACTAAGGAAGGATCCACTTCCAAGTTCATACATATCTTGGTTGGGAGGCCTTAATTCTTTGCTGGACTTGATCCAAGTCTTCAGTTCTTCACCACATGGGTCATTTCATAGGCTTCCATAAGTGTCCCTGTGAGATGACATCTGGCTTCCAAAGAGCAAGTGATCAAAGAGAGATGGAACATGCAAGAGAACCCAAGACAAAAGCTTCAATCATTTTATAACTTTATCTTGGAAGTGACATAATATCACTTCTGTTGTATTCTATAGACTAGATGCAAATCACTAAATCCAGCTCACATTAAAGGGGAAAGGAAGTAAGCTCCATTTCTGAAAGGGAAGAGTACCAATTGGCCAGCAGCAGTCTCAACCTCAAGAAAATTACAATTGGGTCCCCTAGTGGAAGTATTCTCCCTTGTGGAAGCATGATTTCTAGACTAAAATAACCTAAATTAGTAGGGATAGGAAACCAAATTGTTACTGGAGAATCACTAAAGGTAACCATGAAAGAAGTCAGTCCCATTGTCATTGTTTGATTTTACACCCATGAATGCTAGCTGATTATGAAGATGGTGTTGGGTAGACACAGAATGTTTGACTGAAAGCCAGAAAATTGCCATGAAAGGTTTACATTATGGGCTTGACGTTATTTGTTTCACAAAACTGTAAAATTGATTTTGAGTGGCAGCACTCCTTCATCAAATGGAAGTGGTATCCATAAGACCTGTTCAAGAAGGTCTTCAAGGTACAAGTAAGTTGCGTGAGAAAGTAGGTGACTCAAATACCCTTGGCCTCTACTCCTGCTAGATATATTACCTTATCTCTCTCAACCCTCTCCTATTACCTCATGAGCACCAATGACTGAGGAAAGAACAGCTTTGGCTTGGTTTAAAAATGATTCTTTTTTTTTTTTTTTTTTTTTGAGAAGGAGTCTCACCCTGATGCACCCAGGCTGGAGTGCAATGGCGTGATCTTGGCTCACTGCAACCTCCAGCTCCTGGGTTCAAGCAATTCTTCTGCCTCAGCCTCCTGAGTAGCTGGGATAACAGGCACATGCCACCACGCCCGGCTTACTTTTTGTATCTTTAGTAGAGACGGGGTTTCACCATGTTGGCCAGGCTGGTCTTGAACTCTTGACCTTGTGAGCCACCCACCTTGGCCTCCCAAAGGCTGGGATTACAGGCAAGAGCCACCGCACCCAGCCTAGAGATGATTCTATACAATATCATAAAACATCCAAAAGTGAATAACTGCAGAACTACAGTCCCTCTCTGAGTTGGTCCTGAAGGATGGAATGGAAGGGAAACCTTTACTAGCAAAAACTTTGAGCAGAGCATCTGGTTGCTTATTTCACTGGCCAGATATGAGTCCACACTGACTTAGGGGCTGTGGTTAATGATATTGCTGAATAGTTTAGAATATGGAAGGAACATGATTGTAAAATTAGTTACAAGGAGACATAGGGAATAGACATGTGGTTAAACTTCTCAGAATGTTCACAGAATGTAAAGATTTTGTGTCCCTTATGAATATCACTAAAGGGTGACCTGGTGACCTCAGCAACAAAAGATTTAAATCAAATGGCTAGGATGTTTCATTCTATGAACATCAATTAGCCAATTTCACCAGCTACTCCTGTCACTGGTCAACAGGCTGATGAATGAAACAGCCAGCATGGCAGAGATGGAGGTTACACATAGTCTCAGCAACCTAGACTTTCACTCAACAAGGCTGGTCTAGTGACAGCCACTACTGAATACCCAATGTGCTAGCAGCAGAAACTATCACTGAATTTCCAATATGGCACCATTATCCAAATGGATCAGCCAGCTACCTAATGGCAGGATGATTAAAATGGATCGTTTTCATGATGGAGGAGAAAATACTTTTTTTCTTACTAGAACAAACACTTACCCAGGATCTGGATTACCTTCCCTGACTACAATGCCTTCTAGGCATGCGCTTACAGAATGTCTTAACCTGGCAGGAGAGATACCATGATCACCAAACATAGTTTCTAAGAGAAGAACTAATTTCACAGTAAGTGAAGTGTTGCGTTGGGCCCATACTCATGGAATTCACTGGTCTTACCATGCCTCAGCATCCTGAAGCAGCTGGATTGATAAAATGGTGGATGGCCTTCTGAAGACTCCGTTATAATACCAACTGGGTGGCAACACCTTACAGAGCTAAAGCAATGTATTTTAGGATGTGGTTTGTATATACTGTAAGTAAGCGTTGAATATATGATTCTCCCCTAGCCAGCATTCATGGGTTCTGGAATCAAAGTTTAGAAATAAGAGTGACTCCTCTCACTATTACTGCTAGAAATTTGCAAGCAACCGTTTCTTTCCCTATTACTTTAGGCTCCGATGGTCTAGAAGTCTTCATTCTAAAGGGAGGAATGCTTCCATCAGGGGACACAACCCTGAATTCATTGAACTAGAAGTTGAAACCACCAACTCTTCAATATGGATTCTTTATGCCACTGAATCAAAGACATAAAAAGAGGTTTCACTATATTGCCTGAGAATACTAATCTTGAATTTTATGAAAAATTTAGAGAAAAGAGAGGTATGTTTGAAGTAAAGGAGATACTTCCTGGGGATACTAATCCTGAATTTTGTGGGAAATTTAGAGAAAGGAGAGGTATGTTTGACATAATGGAAGTACTTCTTGGTACTTCCCATGCCTTATAGTCAATGGAAAATTACACCCCCATTTGGGCAGGACTGATAATGACTCAGACCACTCAGGAATAAAAATGCAGGTCACCTCACCAGGTAAAAAACCATGATAAGCTGGAATGTCTTCTAAGGGCAGAAGGAAAATGGATTGGGTAGTTTACTCGGTACTGCTGACCCTTATGTGAGAGTATTCATAGCTTCAGAATGAGATAGTGTGCCTCTCCACCAGGACCCGGTAGTACATGAGAGTCATCATTGCTGAAAACGCATTCCTAAATAATTCCAAGGAATATATGGTACAGACATCCTTGAAGATTTAAGATTATCTGATGTAATCTGCTATATATAAAGTGCACCCACCTTTGTGAGGCTAGTGACAACATCCAATCTAATAAGCATTTCATGATCTGAAATGTAGTACTTGTTTAAATATTTGCTTGATGTTTCCTAAAGTCTGACCTGTTTTGGTCCTCATTTAAATTGTTTTCCTCTCTAGAAACTATAAGAGAGATAGATAGATTAGGTAGATGATATAGACAGACAGATAGATAGAGATAGATAGATAGATAGATAGATAGATAGATAGATAGATAGATAGATAAAGACAGATAATTTCCCAATAAAGCTTACAGCTTTCTAAGTCCTATGGAGGGAAGAGAGTGATTTCTATCAGCTATAAGTATACTAGCTCTAGAATATTTTACATGTACCTTATTCACTCTCTTTCAATGTACACAGTATACTTATTGTATACTGTACAGACTAAATAGGGATTTTTCAGTTTTGTTTGAGCTTTGCATTTTCTGGGGTTAATTTTTCAGCCAGAATTATTGAGATGGGTCATTTCTATATCCAGAGTCTACTATATTTTTATTAATCCCTAGAAGTAGGATATTATTATGATATTATGCTATGCCTGATCAGAGTCCCGTGTCTTCTTTTAAGACTTAACACATAATGTTATGGCAGCTACAAAGAATGAGTTAATAGGCCCTTGAGGTAATAACATGAATGTGTATTCAGTATCTTCTTGGTTAACTCATTTTGTTCCTGGCTCATTACATTCATATTTATCAGGATAGAGAAGGATGCACTGGCTCACTTAATTACTCTGTGGTACTCCTGGGTGTAGTAATCACTCAATTACTCCTGGGTACTCCTTGTGACATCAGCAAGGGCAGCCTTGGTTGATTTCCTGTTTTATCTGTTTCCACATTCAGGGAATTTGCCTACAGATCAAAGATTCCTTCACGTGGGCCCCTCCTTTTTGATTATATATTTGCAAGCACAGTTTCTAAGCACAGTTTTCAATTTTTCCCATTAGTTGTGTTTCCTTGTCTTTCCTTGTTCAATCCTCTTAGCCTGACACTGTTTCTGGAGGTAGTTGTTACTCTGCCTTTTTAAATTCCTTCTGTCTTCAGACAATCCAGCTGCTTGAACTACCCAGCAGGGCCTTAGGATTGTTGCCATCAGTGGATGCCTGACATTAGGCCACTCTAGGATTCAGAACCACATACTTATACTTTTTAGTATGAGGCCCCTTGTATCAATTTTTAAAACAAATTTTTGTCAATGTCTCATTTCTGACACTATGTGAGTGAAATTCACATATGACTGTGTGAATATTGAACATAATGAACACTATACCATACAAATCTCACTGAACTTACATTAGTATGTTTGCAATATGTTCAAAGGAACCAGGTTTAAACAAGGATGCAAGATTGGCTAACAGAGCTTAGTGAATAAAATTTTTGAGTCTCCCCATTTTCCTCAAAGGAAAGTGTTTTTAACCCACTGTGTTATTCTATTTTGCATTGCTATAATGGAATACCTGAGGCTGCGTAATTTATAAAGAAAAGAGGTTTATTTTGGCTCAAGATTCTGCAGACAGTGTATAGTATCAGTGCCAGCATCTGCTTCTGGTGAGGTCTCAGGAAGCCTACAGTCATGGCAGAAGGTGAAGGGGGAGCACATGGTGAGAGAGGCGGGAGATGCCAGGCTCTTTTTATCAATCAGACCTTGTGTGAACTAATACAGCAAAAACTCACTCATCAACAGGGAGATGGTACCAAGCCATTCATGAGGGATCTGCCCTCATGACCCAGACACCTCCCACTAGATCCCATGTCCAACATTGGGGATCCCATTTCAACATGAGATTTGAAGGGGACAAATGTTCAAACCATATCATCCACCCACATCATTCATAAATTCCAGCATATTCAATTATCTTGTATAGTTGTAAACACGGCTTTTGTTGAGCCATATTACCTAGGTCTAATTTCCTGGTTCTGGGTAATTTTTTTTCTTCATTGTTAATATCATATTACTGATTATCTGTTAAGTCATGTATCAGTTTCTGGATATCACAAATAGCTTCTAGGTTGAACTGTGAAATAATGGGTGATCTTTGGACAGTCATCTGTCTACTCATTTGAGCCTAGGACAAAGTGTAGCTTCCCTGGTTTAAGAGGATGAATTCATGTATACATTAATATCCACACACTGATTTGATTATAATCATATATATATGTGTATATGTATATATTCAGACTTAATCTCTGTCTATAGATAGATTTATATCACCAAAATGTTAGTAGAGTTTATTTTGGGAATATTAGATAGAGTTATTTTCTTTCCTAAAGAAAAGTATTTGTGTCACTTTTTTGTTTTCATTCAACAAATAGGTAATGAGTGCCTTCCAAGTACCCAGCACTGTGTTAGAGGTAGTAGAGATGTGAGGGGCAGGGAAATGATGGATGAGACAGCCCCTGTCCATCTTCATGAACCTTAGTTTAGCTGGGAAGAATGGAAGCATGCTAGGGTGAAGTATGACTAATAATGATTACAAAGTTTCAGCTTTGTGCCACCAAGAAGAGCACACCTGTAACCACAACTTCCGTCTCCCTTGAAAATAATAATCTCATAGAAAAATAGCTCATGTTTTCAAGATGTATAAAAATAGGACATATTTCAGATAATACTAAAAGAAATCAGTGTGGCTTAATGGATTAGACATCAGGAGACCTGTGTTCCAGGAAAAGTTTTCTCTTTTAATGTCATTCAGCTTTTAAAAAAATCTTTAAAATGATAAAACTTGGTCTTAACTCTTTGAGATTTCCTTCCTAATAAAATTGTGTGGCTATAGAAGCATGAAGAAATGAATTAGCAATGAATTGAATTGCTATTACACTAGTTTTCTATTGCTGCCATAACAAATTATCACAGATTTAGTGACTTCAAATGGAACAAATATATTTTCGATTTCTCTAAGACAGAATTCTAACATAGGTCTCACTGGGCTAAAATCAAGGTATTAGCTGAGCTAAATTCCTTTTTAAAAGCTCTAGGGGATAATCTGCCTGTTCTAGGGGATTTCTTAGCCTGTTCCAGATCTTAGAGGCCTGTCTCTGGTCTTTGTACATTATTCCCTACAGTTCAGAACCAGCAATGAGATACCCAATCCTTCTCACCCTGACATCACTCTCTGACCACAGCTGAAGAGTCCTTCACTTTTAAGGACTCTTATGATTAGACTGGGCCCACCCAGATAATCCAGGATGATCTCATTATCTCAAGGTCCTTAACCTTAATCATGTCTGCAAAGTTTCTTTTGCTCTCTAAGGTAACATTCATAGCCTCTAAGTATTTGGCTGTGGACATCTTTGGGGGCCATTACTTCTCCTTTCAGACATTTTTTATTTTTATTTTTATTTTTATTTTTTGAGACAGGATCTCACTCTGTCACCCAGGTTGGAGTACAGTGACATGATCTCGGCTCACTGCAACCTCCACCTTCCAGGTTCAAGTGATTCTCCTTCCTCGGCCTCTGGAGTAGCTGGGATTACAGGTGCACACCACCATGGCTGGCTAATTTTTGTATTTTTAGTAGAGATGGGGTTTCACCATGTTGGCTAGGCTGGTTTCCAACTCCTGACCTCATGTGATCCACCCACCTCAGACTCCCAAAGTGCTGGGATGAGTCACTGTGCCCGGCCGCCTCCCAGACATTTTTTAAACAATAAATTTTGAGATCAATTCATCAATGCATACAGAAATGCAGGGATATATATATATATAATATATATATATTTTATATATATATAATATATATATATATTATATATATATATAGTTGTTGTTGTTGTTGTTGTTGTTGTTGTGGTGGAGATGGAGTCTTTCTCTGTCACCCAGGCTGGAGTGCAATGGCATGATCTCGGCATGAGACTAATTGTCCTTTAGCCAGCGAAAAAGACATTACAAAGTATAGCTAAATGATATAATTAAGAAATGTACTTTATATAAAAATTTACAACTTTACCAGTCTTGATATTTTGAAACCCAAGCTTTTAATACTTCAGTAAAAACATAGGCAATTTGTAATCTAAACATCTACTCTCTTTCAATTGAATATGTTCAACTGTCTTGTCTATTTTAAATTTGAGAGCAAATTCTTAGACTTGGTGAACTATTGACAAAAGAAACCATGATTTTAGTTTTAACTCTAAAACTCTAACTCTGGGTCCTCCTTCTCTTTCTCTCTCTCCCTCTCTTTTTCTCCCCCCCACCCCGCCCCACACACACACATTTGAAAAGGTGGTGTTACTGGTACCAAGGAATATATTTTTATATATATATAATATATATATATAATTTCTTCTGATATCCTAGCACAATACTTTAGCATGAGACATATGCATTGTTATTCACATATGGATTATGTTACTGTACATACTAAAATATGTCAATAATCTTGAATTGATTAATGCAGAGGTTTTCTAATATATTCAAACTAAGAGAAGTGAGACATATGTGGCTCAGGTCCCACACTGGTGCTGGGCCTATTTGTCGCTGGAACCATTCCTCACACTTGTGCTTTCCTAGCTTCTACCATATAGAAAGTATCTTTTAGTCTCCAAAGTCAGCTGCCTTCTGGAAGTGTTTAGCGTATGGGAAGCCCTGGCAGGCTCTCCTGGCATGGATAGTGTCTCCTGCAAATAATATATTTATTTTGTAGTTCCAGGTCCTGCAGAACAGGTCCATCTGGTTTCAGATTCCCCTTGTAGTGCTGGTTCTTCAGTGCCAGTAACACCACCTTTTCCCTTTTTCCTGCAGCCCTTTGTTCTAGAGGTGGTAATAGCATCCAGATGGCTTCCAGGTGCCTCACCATCCTTCTTTGATTCTCAGATTTCCATCACCTGTGAAACAAATCCCCAAACCATATTCACCCTTTTATGAGGACTTGCAGTGGGTTCAACTTTCTGCTTAAATTGATGATACAGGACCCCCACATTTTCTGTAACTAGAGTTGTTCCTTGCTTATGCATTGTCATTCTGGATTTCTAAGGGCTCCTTTGGATGAAAAGGTTGTGAATCCACATAAAAGGTTTTAAACTCTCATTCTACGTGTAAAATTCAAATTATCCAATAGTTTAGCACCTTTTTGTCTCTGTTCCCGGTCTGATTTGCCACTCTTATTCCCAGTTTCTGCACAAACTCCGGGAATTCTAGCCATATACTTTCCGTTAATCATACATTTGGTGATACTATTGCCTATTACTGAATACCCTTTCTTCTCAACCACTAATGATGAAATCCTACCCAAACTTCATGGGCCTAGAATAAATATAGTTTGTCCTCAGATTTTATATTTGCAAGTTTGTCTGCTCACTAAAATTCATTTGTAATTCCAAAATAAATACTTAGGGCACTGCCACAGTAATTTGCAGACGTGGACAGAATGGTGAAAAATTTGAATCTCCAGATGCCAATGTTCTCAGCTGAGGTACAACAAGGCAGTTTGCTGCCTTCTTATTTTAGCTCTCATTCTGTGACCAGATGCCTTTTTCTCAGTCTATTTAATGCCATGGGTTTTTTTTTTTTTTTTCATTTTTGTTCCTTTGGTTGGCGATTTCACTGTTTAAAATGACCTTCACGCATAGGGTTTAAGTGTTGTCTGGTGTTCCTCAGTGCAAGAAGGCCGAGATGTGCCTCATAGAGAAAATACACCTGTTATACTAGCTTTGTTTAGGCATGAGTTGTGGTGCTGTTGGCCAAGACTTCAATGTTAATGAATCAACAATGTACATTAAATAAGATGTTTCTAAACAGAAATACAAATAAAACAAGGTTATTTATAAATCAGTTGGAAAAAATTTTACCAGATGCTTGCAGCAAACTAATCCTGTATTCTTCAAGAAGTAACAGTTAACTATTTGCAATTTCAGTATTCATAGTGACTTTATAGAGCACAACTAATGCAAAAAAAAAAGAGAGAATTTAAGTACTACCCTTTCTAGGAAGCTTCCTCTGATCTCCCCTTCTGCTAATTTCCCTGCCTTTAATTTCCCATAATCTTTTATCTGAATCTCCTTCCCTTTCCTAAGTCATGCTTAAATGTTCAGGATCAGTAATAGACATTTCTATTAACAGAGTTTTTGGGAAAAGGATATTCAGAGATGCAAACCAAGCCAAGAGTTAGTGGGTAGCTAAAGTCAGTAAACCAGAGAAGGAATGACAAGTAGTGTGTCAAGCCATAGAGCCACAATGTAATTTTGAAAGCCTACATTTACAGCCAAAAATGATGAGAGCTCAGAGCAAATAGCAAGCAAGTGGATTCTGGGAAATGCCTCCAATTGGCATTATTGTCTATGGCTGGCTTTTATGTATTCACTAGGACATGGTTTTGAGGAAGGCTGACTGCACTTATTGTGTCAGAAATTAGGCAGACGCCTGTCATCACTTTGTGTCTTCTACTATGATTATTTATGGCCGTGTCATATTCTAACTGGACTGTAAGCTCAGGATCTGAGTATGATTCATTTTTGTTCATGTCTAACAACCTCCTGACATAATCTCTATAAATATTTTTTGAAAAAATACATGCAAGAATCAGTTCTGTTATATAATCCATTAGTATAAAAACTGTAACTTAGTAGTAAAAACTTGATTCTCTAGGAGAACTTTTTATTGCTAATGTTCAGTTACATGGCTTGCCTCAGACAGTGCCGCATACTATAACAAATTACCACAGACTGGGGGGCTTATAAACAATAGAAATTTATTTCTCACAGTTATGGAGGCTGGAGTGTGAGTATGGTCAGATTCTGGTGCTGAGGGCCCTTTCTTCAGTTGTAGATTGCCTGCTTCTGGTTATAGCCTCACACAGTAGGGAAAAGGGACAAGAGAACTCTCTAGTGTTCCTCTTATAAGGACATTAATTTCATTCATGACCTAACCACCTCCCAAAACACCACCTGTTAATGCCATCATATTGAGAGTTAGGAATTGAATATATGAATTTTAGGGAGAAGCAAACATTCAATCCATTGCATGGCTCATGGTTATTTTCCTTTTAATTTTTCAAAAACTAGATAAGCTCCTTGTGGAATCTGATATAAATCAAGGGTAATACTCCTAGTACCGGTATTAAATTACTTACAGTTATTTTGTTAACAGGGTTGACATTATTTTTGCAAGAAGTTTAGTCAGTAAAAACATTAAATTAGATATTTTTAGTAGGTCATGCTTGCATAGAAACTATGAGCTTAATGTTTATGAAATGGACTTCAAATAACTAGCATGTTTTAAAGGAAATAACACTCTGTCAGCCAGTACCAGAAATTTGTATTTATTTCTAGAATATTTTGTAAAGTTTTTAATATTTGGACAAAATATTAAGCATAGATGGAATTTTAATCCAATGGTGACGATTACTAAAAAGGTATATTGCACTTGCTCTTAGTGGTTGCACATGCCTCATGTAATAGAATGCTGACGTAAAGCTAATCTAAGTCTGCTCTTTGTAATTTAAAAAAATTATAAAGAAGCTTTTCTAAATGTTTAGCCAGCACATCATTTATTATCTCACAGAAGTTTCTTGGGAAAAGGGTACATCAAATTGATTTGAAAACTAAAATCCCCAAAGAGATGTATGGCATCGACATCGCCAAATATTTTCTCATTCATTCTTTACTTTGAATAATTGGCTCCTAATATTATATATCTCTTTCTACTCACTTTTTTTCTAATTGATTGCTAAAAACTAAAGTTTTGTTATTAACCATCTTATAAATCAATATATTTATATCTAGCCACCATTTTCTTAGTCTAAATTTATGGCTTCTCACAGTAGAAAAGCTATAAACCATGCCCAGAAAATTTTATTCTAGCATTCTCTTGGTTTCAAAAATTATAATTGCATCTTTTTCTCAATTTCAACTTCAATGAGCCCTTTCCATAAAATTGTTGTGCTTAATAGCATAGAAAGAACAAGCTTGATCATGGATATCTTTTGATGTTTCTCACTGAAAAGCTACCCTGTGTCTTATTGCTACTTAAATTTGTTGAGGAATGAAATGTATTGCAAGATGATGATCTGTAGAGATGATGGAACTAGACATAGTTCTTTCCCATTACAGAATAGCAGGATATGAATTTATTTGGCATTTAATCAGGACAAACTGTATGTAATTTTACTTCCAAAAGACAAACATGTTTTAGCAATTTTAACTATATTCTCCTCCACTGAACAATATTGTCAAATATTCTACTGAATCATAATTTTTAATTCTTTGAATAAGTCTAAATGTTCTGAAAAAAGGCTTTTGTTCACTGCAAAGTATACATATGATTATTAAATAACTTAGAGATCCAAAACTCATTTTATGATGAATTCAATTAAATTCTCCTAAATTCTCACACATACACACACATAAACACACACACACACTCCACATTTGGGCTCATTGTTATTAAACTCTCTTCAGTGATTCTAGCAAACAATATTTTTTGTGGGACACGAAGGTAACAATGACATACTTCCCTGATATGGTTTGATTTTGTCACCACCAAAATCTCATCTTGAATTGTAGCTCCCATAATCCCCACATGTTGTGGGAGGAACCCAGTGGGAGGTAATTGAATCATGGCCACAGGTTTATCCTGTGCTGTATTCTTGAGAGTGAATGAGTCTCATGGGATCTGACAGTTTCATAAAGGGCAGTTCCCCTGCACATGTTCTTGCCAGCTGCCATGTAAGACGTGCCTTTTCTCCTCCTTTGCCTTCCACCATGATTGTGAGGCCTCCCCAGCCATGTGGAACTGTGAGCCCATTAAACCTCTCTTTCTTTATAAATTATCCAGTCTCAGGTATTTCTTCATAGCAGTATGAAAATAGACTAATGCACCCACTCCTCCCCACTTCATACCCAAGAACTTGGAAATAAGGGGAATATAGCTGTCTTGAGAAGTCAACAACAGAATCTTCAACTCATAATAACAGAAGACTCAAGCCATGAAATCATAAAATTTATTTAACCCTAGATCAGCCAATGATGTGCTTGTTAAAAGAAAGGGTGACCAAGAAAAATGTAAAGTCAGTAAGATAAAATGTGATGATGTAGATCAGGCACAGCCAAGGTGGTGCTGATTCTGAGCCTGCAGACACACAAAAAAACTAATCATAAGAGAGGACTGTACTAGGGAGGAGCAAGGATATTTCATCAGATTTCACCTTGGCTTGATAAATTGCCCACAAATCAATCTATTTACCGTTGCTTTAATTCTGTGAATTCTGTGCTTACTAGGCCTAAGCAAACTTCTGATTAGCAAAGTGGATTCTCAAACATCTTGAAGAAGAAAAAAGTGTGGTGCTCTAGGTTGTGGATGTGAACAGCCCAGTGACTGGAAAGCTGTAGTCCTCATTATAAAACAGAAACATGTTATTCCGTGTTCATTATACACTGGTATCAGGTGATTTGATTATTATTGGTTTGTCCCCTATAACCAAATTACTTTTAGCTATCTTAATAAAATTTTCATTTCTCGCCTACAAGGATAAGGACCATACCTTAAGCCTTGGTAAATTTAGCACAATAAATGCCATTCTTTAAGGACTGCTGATTTTGCCTCTGAGCTAAATTATAACATAATTTAATGACTCTGCCAACCATTGATGACAGAAATATTATCTAATAATACATTATACATATTATGGCAATGCATGCAATGATTTTCTAGTTATATTTTTTACATTAAAATGCAAAAACTATCAGTCTTAACCATACGACATTTTATGTTTGACCTAACAATATGGCAATTTCATATAATTTAACTTAAAATTAGCCTCATTTTGTTTCTCTATTAAGTTCATGTGCTTGTTTCACAATGACCATATGTCACATTTTTTCTTGATCCTTAAACTTCCCACTTCTCATCTCTTTTTCTCCTCAGTTCACACCAATGAGATCACTTTACACTTGTGGACACCTTGGCCCTGTTTGCTTTCAGCTCCATCCTCTTCTCTATGGCATAGACATCACTCCTGAAGCCTGAATTTCCCAGGTTTCCTTCACAAGTGGTTGCCTGCTGGCTTTGCCAGTGTGAGGCACTGGTGGGAGATTGTGCAACATCAGGAAGCAAGAAGCCAGGGCTGTTCTTGTCCTCTGTCATCAAGCTGTAGTGGAGTGTCTCTGGGAGTAGCAGTATCAACTCCTGCTCTCATTGGGTGGACAGGCTCTGTTTCCAGCTTCTGTGGGGTGACCTTTGTCCCTGGAACTAGTAATACCTCCTCCTCCATTCTTCTCTAATGCAGAGGTGATAGTTATGTTCTGCTGTCTACAGTCTCTGTTATCTCAGTTTCCCTATGTGGATGCTCAGCTCCTTCATACCAGTTCAATCAATTCCCTGCATTATGTTCTTCCTGTTGTAAAATCTTGAAGTGATTTATCTTTTTCTCACAAAACACTGACTCATATAATACCTAAAAAATATACAAACTGCTAGATTTGAGTCCCATTCTATTCTCATCACCCAAAATTGGTTGAGTCTAAATTTGTCATCCTCCCTACCTCCTATAATAATAAATAAATTCCTTTCTCTGTCAATGGCAAATTTCTTCACATGGCCTTTTATCGTATCTCTTCCATTTTCCTTAATTACTTATTTTTTTTTTAGTTTTAACTTTTTAAGTATGCATACAATTTATAACTATAATAAGATTTTAGCAGAATTTTTCTTCAAAAAGCCCTCCCTTGGCTCTAAATTCCTATACAGTGATTTCCTGAACTTCTTTGCTTCCTTTCTTATTAAATGTAAGCAAAAAGTTGTTTAAACTTACTGTGCCCACTTCCTTACTTTTTAGTCTGTTTCAAATTAACTTCCATTGACTGGGTGCTGTGTCTCACGCCTGTAATCGCAGCACTTTGGGAGGTCAAGGAGGGCAGATCATTTGGGGTCAGGAGTTCGAGACCAACCTGGCCAACTTGGTGAAACCCCATCTCTGTTAAAAATACACAAATTAGCCGGGCATGGTGGCAGACGCCTGTAATCCCAGCTACTCGTGTAGCTGAGGCAGGAGAATTGCTTGAACCTGGGAGGCGGAGTTTGCAGTGAGCCGATATCACGCCACTGCCCTCCAGCCTGGGCGACAGAATGAGACTCTGTCTCAAGAACAAAACAAAACAAAACAAACAAAGTAACTTCCATCCTCACCTCACCACTCTATCTGAAACCTGCTGTCAAGCTGGATCAGCCTTTAAATAATGAAACCCAGTGAATACTTTCCTCCCTACTTCAATTGCCTGTACAGTAGCTTTTGACAAATAGCTTGTTCTGGCCTCTGTTAGATATTAAGATTCCACACTGTTCTGCATTTGTTGTTCCTCTCTTTGCTTGTTTACTTGCTGTTTTCAGTTTCTCTGTCTCATTTGCTCTCTAACTCCTCAATTTAACTTCCAAATTCAGGATTTCCTACGGGCTTAGAAAAGGTTTCCTTAATCTCTGACTTTAATCTCTCATTGGGTGATTTAATTTTCTACGGGTCTGTTTAATGTTTTATTGGGTGATTCTTTTTTCATGGATTTAAATATCATCTCCATAGTGATGGTTTCTAAAATTTTAACTTCATTAACATTACCTTTCTAAGATTCATGTCAAATTCTTAATTGAAATCTCTATTTGGGGATCTCATGGACAGTTTATATTTAACTTGTAACAGTTTAAATATCATTTTTTCCCAGTCTTACCTGTCTAACTTATGTCATAAAATAAGAGCAATGTAACACTTGTAGCCCTTGTCAGAATTCTAGGAGACATATTTAAGACCCTTCTAATTTTAATCCATTAGTAATAAAAATAACATTTATTGAATGTATATTATGTGCTATGCACGACACTATGTTTACTACAGACATTATTTAATCTTCACAATCCACATATGAGGTATATATACTATTATACACCTCCTTTTCTACAGATGGGAAAAAGCTTAAGTGACTCATGGAAGGATGTTTAGCTAGTAAGTGACGTAGCCAGGATTTCAGAACAGACCATTTTGTTTCAGAGTTCATATTTTTATAGTCATTACACTATATCTCAAATTATAATAAAACTACACGTAACACATGCATAACATTTATTATGATCCAAGCACAGTTGTAAGTGCTTTAGATATATTAAATCATTTATGAGGAATATATTTTTATTATGCCTATTTTGTACATCAGGAAACTGCACAGAGAGGTTAAGTAATTTTCCCAAGGCCAGTAAATCATAGAGACAGAATTTAAAACTGACCTAGGCTCCAGGGAGTGTGTTCTTAACCATAGTGATATCCACACTTTTGGTTGACCTGTGGATTCTACCTGCAAAATCCATTTTGATGTTTTCCATGGCTAGAGAGCAAAATCATGCTAAGGTTTGTAGGAAGGATGCCAGAATGCATAACTTGTTAGGGAGCTGGAATGATAATCAAAATATTCCAGGTTGGATTACCTCAGACTACAAAGTGCAAAGAGATGTTTCGGATTGTTATTAAAATGTCTGAGTCTAGCCAGTTGACAAATGCAGGCCTCACAGTAGGAAAAACCACCACTAATTCTTTCAGCAAGCTAGGTAACTATTACAGGTAAGCAGGAAGCAACCTGAATGACTCTGTTAATCATTATGAGAATGTGAGATGGATAAGCCAGACAGAAATATTCATACTTTATAGTCTCATTTTATAAGAACCAGAAGGGTTGCAGGAGGCATCATTTTGCCAAACTACTGTGCAAGTGCCCTGGGACTAAGACCCAGATATTCTAATTCATACTCAGATGGTCTTCCTATTACATTATGTGTGCATCCCTTGGTTCCTTATTGGAGTTTTCAGAGTAAGCCAAGAAATAAGGCCGTAGATTTGAGAACAACTAAAGATACACGAAAAAGCAATGCCACATATTAAGAAACAAGGAAACTGGTATCTGGTGGTCACCTTACTAAGAAAAAATTTTGAAAGGTTAACTTCAGTATTCACAGATTTTGGCAGATAATATTTCAAAATAAATTCCTATAACTTGGAGGAGAAGAGGAAAGGAGTGGGGTTAGCTTTTAGAAAATCTATTTTCATATCATGTTTGGTTGAAATATTTTAAACTAGAATACTAATAAGCACTACTGAAGATATTTCTACAGTTATAAAATTGTATAATATAGAAAAATATAAATGTATGTGGGACCAGCTCATTTGCATGTAATTTAAATATGTCATAAGAGAGTTGAACAACAGCGAACTTCAAATAGAACTATCGGTTATACTAGAGTATAGGTACAAAATCAAGATTAATCAGGAAAAGTTAAGAAGTATCTTTATATAGACCACATTTTGTAACCAGTTAAATTTTAGAAAAAGGTACATATGTTCTCAAAGTTTAATTTTCACATTGACATATATTGTGAAAGCAAAAAGAATAAGGTTTATAGGAACATAATTGGGTGCTAAGATAGGTGAGGTTAGAGCTATCACAGATGCATAGGTTATAATTTAATGAATTCTTTTCTATATCATTATTAAAATATTTTCTGAAAAATAACGGGATTGTTGGTGGAGGACAAGAATCATCTACCAAAAACTCCTGAGCTAGTTGGTTTTCAGAAATCATAACTTTTTGTATTTGAGAAATGTAATGTGGAGCTTAATTTAAATGTTACATAATCCTCGGGGGTTTGAATAGCACCCTATAATCAGTCATATTAATATTTACATTACAGAGAAAAAAAAGACTATAAATATTCTATCGTCAGGTTAAGTCAGATTATTCCACAAAATAAGTTCAAGTTAGGTCAGATTTTGCCCTTCCAAAGTGAGTTAAGGTAACAGTTTTCAGAGCTTTAGGGTATCAAAACTGCACGAAGGCTTGAGGCACTATCCAAGAGCACCACGGTGATTAACAGTGCCATCTAGTGGCAAAGAAGTGAATCTGTGCACCCGTACATATTTGTCAATGACTATAATGCTAGTAACACTTATATTTAACAAAATAATTAATCAAGTATTTTCTCTCTGGGGATATAAAAATAGATAAGAAATTTTCCCCTACAGAGAGGAATTTTTAGTCTACGAATAAAGACATTGTGTACACATACTGTCAGTACAACATAATTAGTGTAATGGAAGATGGTAATACGGGAGAGGCTCTTACTTGGATCAACTGGGGAAACGTTTTCTGAAAGAGGAAGCAGCTGAGTGAAGACTTGAAAGTAGATGGAAAGGGGTAAGACTGCTTCTACAAAGAAAATGCAGAGAAGAAGGCAAAAACAGAAATCCAAACTGATAGAGGTATTGACATAAGATAAAACTAAACAGGACAAGAGGAAAGATTCCTGACTCATATATAGTAACTTCTTGAATGCCAAATGTTAAGCATGTTTGTTTATTTCTAGTTTTTAATATTCTATTTGATTTAATGTCACTGCTCTTTATTATCAGTCTTTAATGGAAAATAAAATTTAAAATTATATATTATGTCCTATATCTATAAAATAACTTCAGATTCTTTTGGAAATTAAAAAAACCTATTTTTTTTATAAATTATAAAAATAATATAAAGTATTATTTTAAATAATTAATCATTTGCAACTTACAATATAAACCTTAAGGTATGGGCAGTAATCTACGCATGAGGGTAAAATGTGTCTCAATTAGAGAGTTAACTGGATTATTGCATCATAACAATTTACCGTCAATCCAATTGACTCTACTGATAAGTGTTTTAAATTATTATTTCATAATTTTTCTAATAATGACTCTTTTTTTCATTTTATTTGCTTCTATTCTTATTGAGACCTATTTTACCCTCAATTGTTTTGCAATGTTTTTATGATATTTGGACATTCTGGTCCATGTTTCCCAAATTATAGCTTTATTCCAATTTTAATGTAATAAGAATATTTATTTTTCTATTTGGTGAAAATCTCTCAGACTACCACTCACGGAACTTTTTTTTTTTCTTTTGGCCTCTGTATAGATCAAACCGGAAGGATTCAGAGCCATTGCAATTCAATAGGCCCATATTAAGATACAGAAAATGCATTTGCTATTCTTCATCCTCTAGGTAGTGGCCGCAGATACCTGTATGTGGACACATATACACAAAAATGCAACTTTAATTTGATCAAACAATACTCATACTTACTATTTATAAAAATTTATAAATAAATAAATAAAAGGCAAGCAAGGATTGGTAAACAATCTACAGAGAAAAAAAAATTTGTTTAAGAGTGTGATGCCAAGAATGCTGTGTACCTTGGACAGGCAAAGAAAACTAAGTTCAGTAGAATAGTGAGAATTAAAGGCAGCCGGCAAGGAGGCCAGAAATGCCTCTTAATTCCAACTACATTTTTTTCGTACAGGTCTTCCTCCCTTTCCATGTTCTGTTATGTTTATCTGTTCACAGTCTTTCTCCAAGAGACTATGAAAGCTTTATGAAAAAGTCCACCTGCTGTTTAACTTTGTATTCCTTGTATGTGGCATAGTACATAGCATGTATGCATTTTATTTATTTGGATCTATATTCACAGTAAATAAATTCTTTATTACTTTGTGCTGACATATGTACACCCTTCCCTATTGCTGACCCGCACATGCAAGAAGCCTTAATAAGGCTGTATGAGATAGAGCAAGAACACGGGGTTCTTCAGCACAGCCCAGGAGCTGCAGTCACTTTATCAGATGTCCCTTCCTTAGTTCCTGATATCCGTTCTGATTCCTTTTCCCCCCACTGAGGCCATGTGCTTCATCGTAGGCACAGTGAAATGCCAAAACAATGTTTGTTTTACATTTGTCACTACATTGCTCGTTCATTTTGCTTAAAAATAATTTAATTTGTGAAACTGTCAAAACTACAAATTTAGTCAACATCTTAAGGCCTTATAAATTTTTCTTTTTAATTTCCTTCCATCAATAAAGAGACACAGTGTTAAAAGTCTTCTATTACTGAGATAATTTTAATAATCATTTTAATTAGAACAACTAAACATAAGTTAGCTAAGTGCATAGTGAATAAAGCAGCAAAATACTCTAAAGAATCTTATTGGGGTTGAAGAAATGAACTATAATTATCCAAAACCATGGGTTAAGAAGAAGAAAGAAAGAAGCAAGGAAATTGAAGGCAGAGAGGCCAGAATGATAGTGAAATAACCATGTTAGATGAATGTGTCTTTTCCAGTTCCTTGGGTATACAATTTTTATAAAATGTGAAAGAGGCTACATGGATGATCACAGATTTGTTCTTTTATGAAAACTTAAACAAGATCTTAAAATATTTTCCCTTTAGATACCACAATTTTTTTCTTTCTTCTTCACAAATGAGCTTCTTTGGAAATGCTGATTAATACAATAAAGACAAAATTTTATTAGTTTTATTACTACTCCTGTTTGCGTCTCATCTTGAAAAGTGGAATATGAATCATTCCTTGATCAGCTTCTCTTATGTCTATTAATGTTCAGCATCATGTCATTCCTTTGTCTCTTGGGTTATGGGACCCTGATGCTTTCTATTTCCTCTACATTTTCTTTTAGGCAAGATTTCTGTGCAGCCATAGCTTGCCACTTGTCTTTTTATAATATTTGGCAAGTGGAAATTATACATCTTGCATCTACCCTTCTCATTTCCTTTAGATTGGACCCTTTTCATCCACCATCTTTATCCTACTTTATATTGATTTAAAAGCATCTTTTCTCTTTGTTTTCCTTATATATTTTATTTTTTTGTTTTTGTACATGCAAGCATATAACTGGCTTACTTTTCATCAATTTTATGACACTCTATTTAATAATTCAAAAAGTCATCTTATGACTTCCTGAATATGGCTTTTATAATTCGACCTATCTTCTCATATCTTCTGATGGTAGTCTTTCTGTCCCTTTCTTTTAGATCTTATGCATTTGTTTTCATTTTTCTGTTACTTTTTAATCTTTTTAACCAGTGTTAGTCTTTTTTTTACCAATATGCATTAAATAATCCTGCCTGACTTCATATCTTTTTCTGTTGTGTCCTTGTTAAATTATAAAACACAAAATGATATATTCATGTAAAAATCATGGTTTTCCTTCTTCCAGTGGAAGACATGTTAGAGATGTTTATCTCCTAATATTACCTTTAAAATCTTTAGAAATATGCAGTCTATCTGTGCAAACCAGATAGTTAATATACAGATAAATATCTAACTCATTACAAATTTTTTATAAGATACAGAAAGTTATAAAAAATAAATATTTACCCCATATTTACTCATACCATTAGCTCTTCTAAAAATTTTGTAAGGAGATTAAAGTTCTTTCTTTCACCCCTCCAGTCGCACCAAGGTAAAAACTGAGAGTTATATGTACTTCCTAACTTTCTGCTTTACTTATGCAGGCATCATAATACATATATCAATATGTGTATCTATTTTACAAATCTCTTTCTAACACTTCTTGTTACATATCAGCGTGTAACCTGCATTTTTGCTTAAAATTAGTTTATTACATATGATACATTTCCTTTAAAAAGATGCATGATGTAGATGGCGCCTTAGTTTGCCTCCAGTTTTTGCTAATATAAACAATACTGAAATGGAATTTAGATATATATGTACATATCACTCTGTGTATGTGTATATGTACCTACCTAACTACATGCATATGTACATACATATATATACACATATATTCACATTCTGTTATTTATGTGGGATAGATTATTACAACAGGAATTGTTGGATAATGGAATATTTATACTTTTTTTTTGATGGAGTCTTGCTCTGTCTCTAGGCTGGAGTGCAGTGGCGCGATCTCAGCTCAATGCAATCTCCACCTCCTGGGTTCAAGGGATTCTCCTGCCTCAGCCTCCCGAGTAGCTGGGATTACAGATGCGTGCCACGACACCCAGCTAATTTTTGTATTTTTAGTAGAGACAGGGTTTCAACATATTGGCCAGGATGGTCTCAATCTCCTGACCTCGTGATCCACCTGCCTTGGCCTCCCAAGTGCTGGCATTACAAGAGTGAGCCACCACACCCGACCTATACTTCTGTATTTTTATTTTTATTTCCAACATGGTGTGAGTTTACAAATAAATATAAATGTAATTTTATTACAGTTTTATTTCCCAACTCATGTTCTCACACTGTAAATTCTTAAAGTAAGGAATTCTCACCAACTTTGTCCCCATATTGACTTGTGCCAACTCCTCTCTCTTTTTCAAAGAATCTTGAAGATGGCCGAATAGGAACAGCTCCGGTCTACAGCTCCCAGCATGAGCGACGCAGAAGACGGGTGATTTCTGCATTTCCATCTGAGGTACCGGGTTCATCTCATTAGGGAGTGCCAGACAGTGGGCGCAGGTCAGTGGGTGCGCGCACCATGCACGAGCCGAAGCAGGGAGAGGCATTGCCTCACTCGGGAAGTGCAAGGGGTCAGGGAGTTCCCTTTCCTAGTCAAAGAAAGGGGTGACAGATGGCACCTGGAAAATCGGGTCACTCCCACCGAATACTGTGCTTTTCTGATGGTCTTAAAAAACGGCTCACCAGGAGATTATATTCCGCACCTGGCTTGGAGGGTCCTACGCCCACAGAGTCTCACTGATTGCTAGCACAGCAGTCTGAGATCAAACTGCAAGGCGGCAGCGAGACTGGGGGAGGGTCGCCTGCCATTGCCCAGGCTTGCTTAGGTAAACAAAGCAGCAGGGAAGCTCGAACTGGGTGGAGCCAACCACAGCTCAAGGAGGCCTGCCTGCCTCTGTAGGCTCCACCTCTGGTGGCAGGGCACAGACAAACAAAAAGGCAGCAGTAACCTCTGCAGACTTAAATGTCCCTGTCGGACAGCTTTGAAGAGAGCAGTGGTTCTCCCAGCATGCAGCTGGAGATCTGAGAACGGGCAGACTGCCTCCTCAAGTGGGTCCCTGACCCCTGACCCCCGAGCAGCCTAACTGGGAGGCACCCCCTAGCAGGGGCAGACTGACACCTCACATGGCCAGGTACTCCAACAGACCTGCAGCTGAGGGTCCTGTCTGTTAGAAGGAAAACTAACAAACAGAAAGGACATCCACACCAAAAACCCATCTGTACATCACCATCATGAAAGACCAAAAGTAGATAAAACCACAAAGATGGGGAAAAAAAAGAGCCAAAAAACTGGAAACTCTAAAAAGCAGAGTGCCTCTCCTCCTCCAAAGGAACGCAGTTCCTCACCAGCAACGGAACAAAGCTGGATGGAGAATGACTTTCACGAGCTGAGAGAAGAAGACTTCAGACGATCAAATTACTCCGAGCTACTGGAGGACATTCAAACCAAAGGCAAAGAAGTTGAAAACTTTGAAAAAAGTTTAGAAGAATGTATAATTAGAATAACCAATACAGAGAAGTGCTTAAAGGAGCTGATGGAGCTGAAAACCAAGGCTCGAGAACTACGTGAAGAATGCAGAAGCCTCAGGAGCTGATGCGATCAACTGGAAGAAGGGATATCAGCAATAGAAGATGAAGTGAATGAAATGAAGTGAGAAGGGAAGTTTAGAGAAAAAAGAATAAAAAGAAACAAGCAAGGCCTCCAAGAAATTTGGGACCATGTGAATGATGGGGAGAATGGAACCAAGTTGGAAAACACTCTGCAGGATATTATCCAGGAGAACTTCCCCAATCTAGCAAGGCAGGCCAACATTCAGATTCAGGAAATACAGAGAACACCACAAAGATACTCCTCGAGAAGAGCAACTCCAAGACACATAATTGTCAGATTCACCAAAGTTGAAATGAAGGAAAAAATGTTAAGGGCAGCCAGAGAGAAAGGTCGGGTTACCCACAAAGGGAAGCCCATCAGACTAACAGCGGATCTCTCGGCAGAAACTCTACAAGCCAGAAGAGAGTGGGGGCCAATATTCAACATTCTCAAAGAAAAGAATTTTCAACCCAGAATTTCATATCCAGCCAAACTAAGCTTCATAAGTGAAGGAGAAATAAAATCCTTTACAGACAAGCAAATGCTGAGAGATTTTGTCACCACCAGGCCTGCCCTACAAGAGCTCCTGAAGGAAGCACTAAACATGGAAAGGAACAACCGATACAAGCCGCTGCAAAATCATGCCAAAATGTAAAGACCATCAAGACTAGGAAGAAGCTGCGTGGACTAACGAGCAAAATAACCAGCTAACACCATAATGACAGGATCAAATTCACACATAACAATATTAACTTTAAATGTAAATGGACAAAATGCTCCAATTAAAAGACACAGACTGGCAAATGGGATAAAGAGTCAAGACCCATCAGTGTGCTGTATTCAGGAAACCCATCTCATGTGCAGAGACACACATAGGCTCAAAATAAAAGGATGGAGGAAGATCTACCAAGCAAATGGAAAACAAAAAAAGGCAGGGGTTGCAATCCTAGTCTCTGATAAAACAGACTTTAAACCAACAAAGATCAAAAGAGACAAAGAAGGCCATTACATAATGGTAAAGGGATCAATTCAACAAGAAGAGCTAACTGTCCTAAATATATATGCACCCAATACAGGAGCACCCAGATTCATAAAGCAAGTCCTGAGTGACTACAAAGAGACTTAGACTCCCACACAATAATAATGGGAGATTTTAACACCCCACTGTCAATATTAGACAGATCAACGAGACAGAAAGTCAACAAGGATACCCAGGAATTGAACTCAGCTCTGCACCAAGCAGACCTAATAGACATCTACAGAACTCTCCACCCCAAATCAACAGAATATACATTTTTTTCAGCACCACACCACACCTATTCCAAAATTGACCACATACTTGGAAGTAAAGCTCTCCTCAGCAAATGTAAGGGAAAAGAAATTATAACAAACTATCTCTCAGACCACAGTGCAATCAAACTAGAACTCAGGATTAAGAATCTCACTCAAAACCACTCAACTACATGGAAACTGAACAACCTGCTCCTGAATGACTACTGGGTACATAACGAAATGAAGGCAGAAATAAAGATGTTCTTTGAAACCAACGAGAACAAAGACACAACATACCAGAATCTCTGGGACGCATTCAAAGCAGTGTGTAGAGGGAAATTTATGGCACTAAATGCCCACAAGAGAAAGCAGGAAAGATCCAAAATTGACACCCTAACATCACAATTAAAAGAACAAGAAAAGCAAGAGCAAACATATTCAAAAGATAGCAGAAGGCAAGAAATAACTAAAATCAGAGCAGAACTGAAGGAAATAGAGACACAAAAACCCTCCAAAAAATTCATGAATCCAGGAGCTGGTTTTTTGAAAGGATCAACAAAATTGATAGACCGCTAGTAAGACTAATAAAGAAAAAAAGAGAGAAGAATAAAATAGACGCAATAAAAAATGATAAAGGGGATATCACCACCAATCCCACAGAAATACAAACTACCATCAGAGAATACTATGAACACCTCTACGCAAATAAACTAGAAAATCTAGAAGAAATGGATAAATTCCTCGACACATACACCCTCCCAAGACTAAACCAGGAAGAAGTTGAATCTCTGAATAGACCAATAACAGGAGCTGAAATTGTGGCAATAATCAATAGCTTACCAACCAAAAAGAGTCCAGGACCAGATGGCTTCACAGCCGAATTCTACCAGAGGTACAAGGAGGAACTGGTACCATTCCTTCTGAAACTATTCCAATCAATAGAAAAAGAGGGAATCCTCCCTAACTCATTTTATGAGGCCAGCGTCATCCTGATACCAAAGCCGGGCAGAGACACAACCAAAAAAGAGAATTTTAGACCAATATCCTTGATGAACATTGATGCAAAAATCCTCAATAAAATACTGGCAAACCGAATCCAGCAGCACATCAAAAAGCTTATCCACCATGATCAAGTGGGCTTCATCCCTGCGATGCAAGGTTGGTTCAATACACGCAAATCAATAAATGTAATCCAGCATATAAACAAAACCAAAGACAAAAACCACATGATTATCTCAATAGATGCAGAAAAGGCCTTTCACAAAATTCAACAACCCTTCATGCTAAAAACTCTCAATAAATTAGGTATTCATGGGATGTATCTCAAAATAATAAGAGCTATCTATGACAAACCCACAGCCAATATCATACTGAATGGGCAAAAACTGGAAGCATTCCCTTTGAAAACTGGCACAAGACAGGGATGCCCTCTCTCACCACTCCTATTCAACATAGTGTTGGAAGTTCTGGCCAGGGCAATTAGGCAGGAGAAGGAAATAAACGGTATTCAATTAAGAAAAGAGGAAGTCAAATTGTCCCTGTTTGCTGGCGACATGATTGTATATCTAGAAAACCCCATTGTCTCAGCCCAAAATCTCCTTAAGCTGATAAGCAACTTCAGCAAAGTCTCAGGATACAAAATCAATGTGCAAAAATCACAAGCATTCTTATACACCAACAACAGACAAACAGAGAGCCAAATCATGAGTGCACTCCCATTCACAATTGCTTCAAAGAGAATACAATACCTAGGAATCCAACTTACAAAGGATGTGAAGGAGCTCTTCAAGGAGAACTACAAACCACTGCTCGAGGAAATAAAAGAGGGTACAAACAGATGGAAGAACACTCCATGCTCATGGGTAGGAAGAATCAATATCATGAATATGGCCATACTGCCCAAGGTAATTTACAGATTCAATGCCATCTCCATCAAGCTACCAATGACATTCTTCATAGAATTGGAAAAAACTACTTTAAAGTTCATATGGAACCATAAAAGAGACCGGATCGCCAAGTCAATTCTAAGCCAAAAGAACAAAGCTGGAGGCATCACACTACCTGACTTCAAACTATACTACAAGGCTACAGTAACCAAAACAGCATGGTACTGGTACCAAACAGAGATATAGATCAATGGAACAGAATAGAGCCCTCAGACATAACGCCGCATATCTACAACTATCTGATCTTTGACAAACCTGAGAAAAGCAAGCAATTGGGAAAGGATTCCCTATTTAATAAATGGTTCTGGGAAAACTGGCTAGCCATATGTAGAAAGCTGAAACTGGATCCCTTCCTTACACCTTATACAAAAATCAATTCAAGATGGATTAAAGACTTAAACGTTAGACCTAAAACCATAAAAACCCTAGAAGAAAACCTAGGCAATACCATTCAGGACATAGGCATGGGCAAGGACTTCATGTCTAAAACACCAAAAGCAATGGCAACCAAAGCCAAAATTGAAAGATGGGATCTAAGTAAACTAAAGAGCTTCTGCACAGCAAAAGAAACTACCAGCAGACTGAACAGGCAACCTACAAAATGGGAGAAAATTTTCGCAACCTACTCATCTGACAAAGGGCTAATATCCAGAATCTACAATGAACTCAAACAAATTTACAAGAAAAAAACAAACAACCCCATCAAAAAGTGGGTGAAGGACATGAACAGACACTTCTCAAAAGAAGACATTTATGCAGCCAAAAAACACATGAAAAAATGTTCACCATCACTGGCCATCAGAGGAATGCAAATCAAAAACCACAATGAGATACCATCTCACACCAGTTAGAATGGCAATCATTAAAAAGTCAGGAAACAACAGGTGCTGGAGAGGATGTGGAGAAATAGGAACACTTTGACACTGTTGGTGGGACTGTCAACTAGTTCAACCATTGTGGAAGTCAGTGTGGTGATTCCTCAGGGATCTAGAACTAGAAATACCATTTGACCCAGCCATCCCATTACTGGGTATATACCCAAAGGATTATAAATCATGCTGCTATAAAGACACATGCACACGTATGTTTATTGCGGCAGTATTCACAATAGCAAAGACTTGGAACCAACCCAAATGTCCAACAGTGATAGACTGGATTAAGAAAATGTGGCACATATGTACCATGGAATACTATGCAGCCATAAAAAGTGATGAGTTCACGTCCTTTGTAGGGACATGGATGAAATTGGAAATCATCGTTCTCAGTAAACTATCGCAAGAACAAAAAACCAAACACCGCATATTCTCACTCATAGGTGGGAATTGAACAATGAGAACACATGGACACAGGAAGGGGAACATCACACTCTGGGGACTGTTGTGGGGTGGGGGGAGGGGGGAGGGATAGCATTTGGAGATATACTTAACGCTGTATGATGAGTTAGTGGGTGCAGCGCACCAGCATGGCACATGTATACATATGTAACTAACCTGCACATTGTGCACATGTACCCTAAAACTTAAAGTATAATAATAATAAATTAAAAAAAAGAAAGAATCTTAATATTATGCCATGCTTTATCGATTATTGCAACAATTGCTTTGGCATAAAACCTTCATATTAAAATCCAATCTTCGTTTCCTCTCACCTTCTATTACTCTTGATGTGATATTGCCAATGGAAAGCATGCCTAACCTCAGTCTATCAGGCTCTGTCCTCTACTCCTTTCATGTTTAGCCTTCATTTTTACTCTCTTATTATATATTCGCTCAAGAATGGATTCTTATTCAGCCAAGAATTACACGAACAGGCTGGTTTCTTTAATTTCCTTCATTTGTCCACCCAGAAAGCACAATCACTCCTGGCAGCCTGGGTTCATGTTTGAGCAACCATTTAGTCAAGAAGTCATTTGGAAAATGAGAGTTATAATTAAATATTTCACTTTACCTACAGTGGCTTTGATTACACTGGGCCTTTGGCCAAATCACCTTCTTGACCTTGGTTGGCAGTCATAGAAAAGTAGTATCTGTTAAACAGAAATGAAACTGTTGCTTTTCCTCCAGTACCTTTGAAAAATTATCAGACCTATAATCACTCAAATGAAGCGTAATGTCCTGCCAAAGACAAAAAAAAAAAAAAAAAAAAACCATTCTGTCTGAAGCTAGATAAGAGGTCAATATGTTATATACTGTTGTACTCTCTTTTTTACTGCACAATATTATTTCCTAGAAATTTTCCACTGGCTTTGTATTTTATATCTTATAAATAAATAAACCAAAAACATTTCTCATGGTAACACCCTAATACATTTGGGACTTGAGTAACATGGATTCACTTTCTTTTTTCTTTTTCTTTTTCCTTTTTTTTTTTTTTTTTTGAGACAGAGTCTCATTTGTAACCCAGGCCCAGGCTGGAGTGCAATGGTACGATCTTGTCTCAATGAAACCTCTGCCTCCCAGGTGCAAGTGATTCTCCTGCCTCAGCCTCCAGAGTAGCTGGGATTACAGGTGTGCACCACCACACTCGGCTAATTTTAGTATTTTTAGTAGAGATAGGGTTTCATCATGGTGGCCAGTCTTGTCTCAAACCCCTGAACTCAAGTGATCCACCCACCTCGGCCTCCCAAAGTGTTGGGATTATAGGCATGAGCCACTGTGCCTGGCATGGATTCACTTTCCAAATCCACATCTTAAGTCTCTGAGTTATGATCTTTCCTCTTTGCACTGGCACTGTTTTGCCCGAAGTTGATAGGTGAAAATATTCTCTACTTGGGCAAGAATAGAAATAACATTCTTTGTTTTTTTTTATTAATATGGACATTACTTTGCCACCTGCACATCGTCATTTGGAGCCCATGACTCTCACTTTAATCAACAACACAAAACATTTGAACTGCAGATATTCATTGAGGGATTAACTGTCTTATTCAACAATAATGGAGCTATCAATTCAAGACCAAGTTAGGAACTAAGCTTATTTTTTCAGAAAGATGAAATGCATGTCAAACAGCCATCCCTTTATAATTTCAAAGCGACACACCAACACAATTCCCTTGAACTACTCTACAAATGACTTCCAAAAATGCTAATTTAAAGAATTTAACATAACAGGAAAATATTTCTGTATCATTTACCAAATTGCTCTTATTTCTGTGTGACCCAAGGCAAATTGGTTTACCTCACTAAGTCACAAATTTCTACAGGACAAAATTAAAGTCTTAGATGGATGATACTATCTTTTTTACTTTTCTAAAGTTCACATTTCATAATCTACCACAGTATATATTGAAGATGTTCAATTCAGACTTAAAAAACAGGGAAAAATGTGTCTTTTCTAAAGAACAAGGATGCTTCCTTTAATCAGACAATGGATAGAAAATCATTCTGTGCTTTTCCTCCCTTTGGCAACTAGAAAGCTTGGAATCAAATTCTATATTCAGTTAATATGATTTTCTTATCCTAGTTTCCTGGCATAATATCTACCATCTCTGTAATTTATTTAACTTTTATTTTCTGAAATTAATTTTACCTACAGTATATGTATTTTACTCTATGCCACCTCATATCTTTTGGGACTTAAATGATGATAAATATGTATAAAAATATTTTCATTTTGACCATCCACTTACATTCTGTTTCATTTTTTTACTTGCATATTTTTACAGATTTTTGGATGAAATATTTGTGCTTGATTGTAAAAATTCTAAATTTTTTTTTCTGTTTTTTTTTAAATTATACTTTAAATTTTAGGGTACATGTGCACAACGTGCAGGTTTGTTACATATGTATACATGTGCCATGTTGGTGTGCTGCACCCATTAACTCATCATTTACATTCGGTATATCTCCTAATGCTATCCCTCCCCCCTCCCCACACCCCACAACAGGCCCCAGTGTGTGATGTTCCCCTTCCTGTGTCCATGTGTTCTCGTTGTTCAATTCCCAGCTGTGAGTGAGAACATGCGGTGTTTGGTTTTTTGTCTTTGAGATAGTTTGCTGAAAATGGTGGTTTCCAGCTTCATCCATATCCCTACAAAGGACATGAATTCATCATTTTTTATGGCTGCACAGTATTCCATAGTGTATATGTGCCACATTTTCTTTATCCAGTCTATCATTGTTGGACATTTGGCTTGGTTCCAAGTCTTTGCTATTGTGAATAGTGCCACAATAAACATACATGGGCATGTGTCTTTATAGCAGCATGATTTATAATCCTTTGGGTATATACCCAGTAATGGGATGGCTGGGTCAAATGGTATTTCTAGTTCTAGATCCCTGAGGAATCGCCACACTGACTTCCACAATGGTTGAACTAGTTGACAGTCCCACCAACAGTGTAAAAGTGTTCCTATTTCTCCACATCCTCTCCAGCACCTGTTGTTTCCTGACTTCTTAATGATCGCCATTCTAACTGGTGTGAGATGGTATCTCACTGTGGTTTTTGATTTGCATTTCTCTGATGTCCAGTGATGATGAGCATTTTTTCATGTGTCTTTTGGCTGCATAAATGTCTTTTGAGAAGTGTCTGTTCATATCCTTCACCCACTTGTTGGTGGGGTTGTTTGTTTTTTTCTTGTTAATTTGTTTGAGTTCATTGTAGATTCTGGATATTAGCCCTTTGTCAGATGGGTAGATTGCAAAAATTTTTTCTCATTCTGTAGGTTGCCTGTTCACTCTGATGGTAAATTTTTAATATAGATTTTTAAATAAATAAAAGATACTTAAAGAACATTCAAATTATCCATTATTTTTGTGGATGTTTTTGTTGTAAGAAATATAAACCTACTCAAACAAGCTAAAGCCGGAAAGGGCACTGATTGAACAGATGCAGGGAGTTTGATGAAATGCACGGCAGAGGAAATGTACAAGGGAAGAGTCAGAAGCTACAGGAATCTTGTTTTCCCTTTTTTATTTGTTAGTTTTATTTCCTTTCTCTGTAAATTTGTTCTTGCTGCTTTAGTATACATGCAAATATAGGTAAGTAGAAAATGACTGACCCAGCCTTAGTTTTACCATGAATTCCAGTTTCAAATTACAAGGACACAGGATTTGATTGGCTTATCTTGGGTCAGATGCCTACTGGCAGATACAGCTTAGGCCTGCATCTTCAATAGCAGCTGCTGGTAATGAGAGGTTTTCAAAGAGGAGGACATGGGAGGGGCATTTGACTTACTCATTCAATCACTACTCCCATTGCCTTACTATATAAATCACTGTTTATATTTTTGTAAATTTACTTTGATTTTTTTTGCAGGATGATTTTTATGAATATATGTGGTAGGTATGATTTGGACCCTTTAATTTCCACTTTACTGTAAGACATACATTTTCTTTTCTTATCATTAAAAACATGTTTTAGGCCACGTAGTTTTCTTTTCTTTTTTTTTTTCATTACTGACAAGAATTTTCATAATGAAGATTACCTTCAGTGATTATCTTCAGATTAATGGCTCAGATACATAATTAAATTTTTGTGAACTGAAATGTCATCATTTTTCTCATTTACCACTACTTTATTCAAAGTGGAAAAAAAATTGTGAGTTAATATTACCAAAAGGAAATGCAGCTATTTTTGCCCATCTATAAATTTAATATTTCTAACAGTTTTCTCAATTGTTTATATTAACCCTTTATAAAAGGTAGACATTTTACTGGCTCTTTGTTCAATAAAATAAATATAAAAATACTGGTCATGCCCTGCCTAGCTTGCATTATCAATAAGAGTATTAAATTAAGGCAAATAAGTGAATACTCCTTTAGAAGTATGGGGTGTTACCCATTTGTAAGAAGTTGTTATTTATAGCATCACTTTTATCAGCAGTCATAATGACAAAAAATTCTCCAAATTCTATTATGCTTGCACCTGAATTATTAGAAAACAAATCAAATGACTTTTCCTTTTTAATTCCATCCTCATTCCTGAGAACATATGTCATTTTTTTATTTTGCATCAGAAGCAGTACAGAAGGAAGTAGACTTCCCTCTACATTTGCCTCACATTAGAGATGACAGAGATGACACTAGGATTCACTTCCAAATTCAGCTTATTTTGGTTGTGTCCCCTCTCCATGGTCCTGTGGCCACATGTGGAGCTCTGGGCACTCAGCCACCTGCTCGCTTCCCCTCAGGAAACTGCTGTGCCACCTTTCCTTCAAGATTCTTTCTGAATCTACCCACAGACGTTGGGCTAGAAGGACAATTACTCTTGAGTCATGTGGAGCTTAGATCAGGTAGTTTTTCTATTGCTGAATATTATCACATATATGGTGGCTTAAAGCAACATGAATTTATTAGCTCATAGTTCTGTAGGTTAGAAGCCCAGGCGAACTAAACTGGGTTGTCAGTTTAGGGTCTTACAGAAATCCAGGTATTGACTGGACTGGGTTCTTATCTGGAAGTTCAGAAAAAAAAAATCAACTTCTGTGCTTGTTTATGTTGTTGGTGCAATTGAGTTTCATGAAGTTGTGGCACTGTGTTTCCCATTTCCTTGGTGCTTGTCAGCAGAAGATCTCTTTGAACTCCTTAAGGCCACCTCCATTTCTTCTTCCTTGGCCTATTCCATAGTCCAAGCCAGAGAGGGGGTATTGACTCTCTCTCGTTCTTCCAACCTCTCCAACTTTCTCTTCTGCTATAGTAGAAAGTAGAAAACTCTGCTTTAAAAAGCCTAATGAATTAAATTAGTTTCACCTCCAGATTTCTCACTATTTTAAGGTCAACTTAGCCAATAACATAGCATAATTATGGGACGGATACTTTACCATATTCAGTTTCCAGGGATTAGGATGGAGCATCCTGAGTGCCATTTTAGAATTCTGCTTCCACAAGGAGCACATATTATAGGTTTGTTTCAAAAAACTAATCAATTGTCTCAGGATCATTTATTGACCACTCCTCTGGTCCCTAATGATTTGTAATTACATATTCATAAACTACTAAATTATGTAGATACTAAAACCTAGGTTTTATTTCTGAGTTAACTGTTGGTTTCATTATTGATTTCTTATGTCTGTTGACTATTTTATTTCTTTAATAAATGTACTTTCATAATATTTTATATTATCTAGCTAGGCAAATTCTCCTCTAGATCATTTCATTTCTCCAATTATCTTAGTTATATATGCTAAGATATATAAGTATACTTAGCTATACATGCTAAGAATTTTTATTTTACAAAATAAGCTTGGAATTTGCTTGGAATTGTATTAAACTATTATTATATTAGGGTAAAGTTGAAATCCAATCTAGGAACATAGTCAAAGTTTATTTTGATTTCTCAATGTAATTATAGAAAGCCTCCTAAATCTCAAAAATATGTACAAAGGTTTGTATCTATAAGGGCTACTAAACCCATAAATTAAAAGAGAATTCTGCTTCTAGAAAGCTAAAATTTTGTCATATAAATTCTGGTTTTGGTTCAAAAACATCATTTCTGTTTGATTTGTCAGAAACCAACATCCCTCATACTACAAGAACTGTAGGCAACAACAACAAAAACATCTTTTAGCACTAATACTGAAGAAAAAACTATGTTGTATTAGAATAAATGAATATATAATTTGAAGGGTAATATAATAAACATCAAGAGTTCCTGTAGGTCTATAAAAAAAGTCTATTCAGATTATTTTGTGGTTTCATCAACAGATTCTTAAAGCATTAAGCCTTGGGTAACAATCATTCTTTAAAATTCATTCATAGACACATCAAATATAAAGCAAACTTTTTGGTATTAACATATTTTTATTGTGTTAATTGCATTCTCTATGTTTTAAAATGCTTTCTGTCCTTCCACAGTGGTAACATCGAGGAGTTGAGAGAATAAAAATTAAGTACTGTATTCTCTTTTAGAATCAGCTTAATTCCTCATCTACTTTCACAAAAATCCCAGAGGCCTACTTAGAACTTTTCCACTAGGCTCAGAATGTAAGGCTAGTACCAATCTTAAGGAAAGGCCATTCCTTCTTATTTTCCACAGGAAAAAAAGAGACTTTAAGCATGGCTATTTAACCTGGTTTTAAACTCTCTTGAGATTATCCAGACTAAAGATTGTGAGTTTGTATTTTTGCCTGGGGAGACAAACAGCTAGTTGCCTACTGGAACCTAGAGTCATTCTTTTGATTGATAAAGAGTATTCTTTCTCTGTTTCCTCAGTTTCTTCCTTTTGAGTCAGCTCATCTCGCTTCCTGGTCCAAAACCCTGAACTCAAAGAAAGCTAAAGTTTTTACGAAGTCTTAAGTGACCTACATGATCCTTCATGCTCTAGTCTCCTAGCTTTGTCTTTCCTTCTATCGTCCCAAAAAACAAAGCCTCAGACAAGCATTTACAAGCAAGAAACTTATTATTTTGAAAGTGACTTTCAAGACTCAGAGAAAGGGAACAAGAGGAAGGAGAAAAGTATGCCCACGGATGTGTCATTGAGATGGTTATCTCTGGGCAACTCAATCCTGCCAGGTCCTTCTGAGGTCATGAATATTGTGCCTATACATTGTTCAAAAGCAGACTGAGACGCAATACAATTTTAAAGAGTTTGAGTAAACAGTGACTCATGAATCAGTAATCTCCAAACCAGAGTGGTTCAGAAGCTCCACCAAGGAAATGCAAGGGGGAGGCTTTTATGGGGCAAATACAGAAGTAAAGCAAAGAAAATATTTGATTGGTTACAGTTACATTGTTGCCTATTTGATCTATCCCACTGGAAAGTCCCTAGTTATAAAATTACAAGGTCTGTCCCTGCTTCTGACCAGTTAAGCCTAAATGCTATTTTTCTTTCATGTAGACATTTACAAAAAATGGCCCCAATTAAGTTTCACTTATGTTTGCAAATCAAGCAAGGTTAAGGTTATTTATGAGGCCTAACTAGCTTTGTCTGCTGAGGAATTCTTCAGGCTCATTCTTCATTTTAGTTTAACGATATGATTGGGGAATTCTTATTCACCAGCAGTCATCTCCCACTGGTTTTGGGCTTTTCCAGGGGATGTTAACTGCACACTTCCACATTTACTTAGGAGCAAGCCCTGCGAGCCCCAGATGTGCAGTGATACCTACTGGGTCCTACCTGTCGAGGTGAAGCAGTGATGGCCAGAGCAAAGGAGAGATAAAAGACAGAAAAGATGTTCCGTAGGCCCCTACTCATCCACATGTACACAATTCCTCTCTGAGTTCCCTTCGTACTATTCTCCGTCCTGTTGGCTGCTCCTTGAATGCATCAGGCACAAATTCTGCCTTGAGGTCTTTGCATCAGCTATTCCTCCTGTGTGAAATGCTGTTCCCCCAGACATACCACTTTCCTCTAGTCTTTGCTCAGACTGTATCTTTTCAAAAGGGCAGAAACTGATCATGCTTATTAATATCACAACATAACCTTCCTCCTTTCCCACAACTCACACTCTCAACCCCCACAAACTCAATCCTCAAAACTTTCTCTATTTGTTTTCTTCTTTCTTTAACAATTATTACCTTTCAACATACCGTATCACTTATTTACTATGTTTATCACTTATAACTTGTCCTCTCCCATCCACATTCTGCAAAATCAAAGCTCCTCTAGGATTTTTAAAAATATATTTACTGATGAACATATTTCAAGTACTATTTGGACCGATTTCAGTCCTTTTCTGCCATCTTATGTTTTGATTCGGCAAAAAGGTGAAACTAAGCATAATTATTGAGGTTCCAAAAATTGAAATCAAGGAACCAAAGGGCTTACCTTGTTTTGTGGTTAATGATAAGAAGTCAATGCTTTTAGAGGAGGATAATTAAAATGTTCCAGATTAGCAAATGCTAGTGCTTGAATTTAAAGCAATTTGCACTTTTATTAACCTTCTAGGGGCATGAAGTGCTGGTCTTTTGTACTTTAAATAGTTTTTTCCTTATTATAAGCCATAGGTCAATATGTTCTCTTGATGATTATTTAATGTTAAAAAGGCCAAATAACTACAGTCAGTTACTGATTGAACTCCTTGTTCTACTCTTTTTCCCCCTTCTCACTACTGCATTTGGCTAGTCTTAAAATAAATAAATAAATATATAAATGCCTAATAACTAACTGACAAGTGTTATGATGGGGTTGTGTCAGAATAAATCCATCATAAATTGAAAATTTCATAAGTCAAAAATGCATTTAATACATCTACCCTACCATAATAGCTTAGCTTAGTCTAGCTTACCTTAAGTATGCTCAGAACACTTACGTTAGCCTATAGTTGGAGAAAATCATCTAACACAGAGCCTACTTTACAGTAAACTGTAGAGTATCTTATGCAATTTCTTAAATACTCTACTGAGAGTGAAAAAAAGAATGGTTGTATGAATGCTTAAAGTAATGTAAAGTCAGAAATTATCAGCCAGGGACCATCTGTAATTTAGAAATTCCTAATTTGTATTCAATTGATTAAAAAGCTAATATAAATTAGCCACTTTTTGAGAAAACTTATTCTCATGTTTTTGTTTTCTTGGATAAGCTTCATGTATTGGCTACATTGATGACTACATTATAAAAACAGAGGCAACAAAGTTCTTGAGATGACAGTCAACATTTTTAAAAATTGTCAAATAAAGTAATTAAGCATGAGAAGAAGAAAAAATCTGGAGATGTCAGAGCGGTTTCATGTTATTGTCCTAAGGTAGAGCAGTACATAAAATGCAGTCTGCAGGCTGGTGCCAGATCTGTTTATCACTAGGCCATGACAAGGTATATAAAGAAACTGATAATATGCATTGAAAAGCTTACAACAATCTTTTAAATTGCAATGACATCCAACTACATTATCATTGCACTTATCTAGTTAAGCAGGGTATAGAATAGTTTGGGTGCTGGCAAACTCATCTGGTGAGTTTCATATTGCACCACCAGTATAGTTATACTAGTCATGCACATGAGGACACGTATGGACCAGTAGAACACACACTCTAGAAAATACATGTAAATAAAATTTATTTAAATATTATGTCCCTCATCCCACATAATTTGAAAACTCTGCTCCAGAGGTCTTATGATTCTCCAGTTTGATGTTTAAATTTGTCATGGAAAAAAAAGTTCTTAGTTAAAATTTGAAGTTAAGACTGACTTTGTCATTCTTCATTGTCCTCTAAGCTAGGTCACTGTCCCATTTCTTCTGAGTTCAGGTCTTTGGTGCTATACCATGGGCAATAGCTCTTCACGTGGCAATGACTATGAAAATATACCTATCCCTAAGAAACTCCCTAAATATGTTATTATAACTGTTTACTCTTAACGTCTACCAGGATTTCACAAAGAAAAGAAAAAAGAATTTTTTCTTTAACATCATGTACTACCATATATCTCCAATATTAGCAATGACTTGCAGCCTCTGGACATTAGCTGTTGTAGAACCCCAAAATTTATGTTCACGTACTGGAGGCTTTAATGAGTAAAGTAGAAAATGGGCGAGGCAATATCCCCTGATAATCAAAGCTACTTGTATGCCTCAGCCGTCAAGGAGGTCTGCATGATTTAAAGATCATTGTTCTTTTTTTTTTTTTAACATATTAAACAACAAAACAACCCAAGTTCGTTAATCTTACAGACAACATCTCAGGGTTAAGCTATAAAGTTAACCAATTATCAGTAACCAACCTCTACCAAAATTACTATGTGCATTCAAGCAGTTTTACATGGAAGAAAAGGACAAAGAGAAAAAGAAAATAGAACAAACAAACATTTTATGATTTTTATAATATAGGCTCAGTTACATGGTAACAAATTCAAATTCTTCATGGAGCCAACAGATGTCAGAAAAATATCCAAAATTTAGAAATAAGCAAAAGAGATTATTGGAAGTTTGTTTTGAATACGTTTGATTTTGACCCTCTGTTAACTGCCTAATTTTTTATATTTTAGTTTTTGTAGGTGTATAGTAGGTGTATATATTTATGGAGTATATGGGATATTTTGAAAGAGGCATACAATGTATTTTAATCACATCAGGGTAAATGAGGTATTCCTCACCTCATGCATTTATCCTTTATGTTACAAACAATTCAATTATACTATTTTAGGTATTTGAACATGTACAATTAATTTATTATTTAAGATAGTCACCTTGTTGTGTTATCAAATAACAGATCTTATTCATTCTAACTATATCTTTGTGTACATTAACCACCCCCACTTCTCCTCCCCACCTGCCCATTACCCTTTCCAGCTTCTGGTAACCATCATTCTACTCTATCTCGATGAGTTCATTTTTTTAATTGTTCGTTCCCACAAATAAGTGGAAACACTCAAAGTTTGTCTTTCTGTGCCTGGCTTGTATATGTCACATAACATAACGACCTCCTGTTCCATACATATTGTTGCAAATGACAGGATCTTATTCTTTTTTATGGCTGAATGACACTCCATTGTGTACACGTATCCCATTTATTAAAAAAAAAAGATTCATCTGTTCATGGACACTTGGGTTGCTTCCAAATGCAAGTATTGTGAACAGTGCTGCAAGAAACATGAGAGTGCACGTATCTCTCCCCTATACTGATTTCCTTTCTTTTGGGTATAGACCCAGCAATAGATATGGTAGCTCTATTTTTAGTTTTGAGCAACCTCCCTAGCATTCTCCATAGTGGTTGTACTAATTTATATTTCCACCAACAGTATACAAGGGTTCCCTTTTCTGCACATCCTCACCAGCATTTATTATTGCCTGTCTTTTGAATAAAAGTCATTTTAACTGGGGTGAGATGATCTCTCATTGTAGTTTTGATTTACATTTCTCTAAGGATCAGTGATATCATGCACCTTTTCATATACCTGTTTGCTGTTTATATGTCTTCTTTTGAGAAATGTCTAGTCAGCTCTTTTGCCCATTTTTAAATTGGATTATTAGGTTTTTTTCCTATAGAGTTGTTTGAGCTCCTTATATATTCTGGTTATTAATCCATCATCAGATTAGTAGCTTGCAAATATTTTCTCCCATTCCATGGGTTGCTTTAATGCTCCCATTCCTTATTGATTGCTTCTTTTGCTGTACGGGAAGTTTTTAACTTGGCGTGATCCTATTTGTCCATTTTTGCTTTGGTTGCCTGTGCCTGTGAGATTTTACTCAAGTAATCTTTGCCCAGTTCAATGACCTGAGGTGCTTCCCTAATGTTTTCTTGTAGTAGTTTCATAGTTTGAGGTCTTAGATTTCAGTCTTTAATACATTTTGATTAGATTTTTGTATATGACAAGAGACAGGGGTTTACTTTCATTCTTCTGCTTATGGATATCCAGTTTTCCCAGGACCATTTTATTTAAGAAACTGTCCTTTCCCTATTGTATGTCCTTGGTTCCTTTGTCAAAAATGAGTTCACTGTAGATGTATGGATTTGTCTCTGGGCACTCTATTCTGTTTCTTTTCTCAATGTGTCTGTTTTTAATGCCAGTACCATGTTGTTTTTGTTACTATAGCTCTATAGTATAATTTGAAGTCAGGTAATGTGATTCCTCCAGTTTTGTTCTTTTCGCTCTGGATAGCTTTTGCTATTCTGGGTCTTTTGTGGTTCCATATAAGCTTTAGGATTATTTTTTGTATTTCTGTGAAGAATGTCATTGGTATTTTGATAAGAATTGCATTGACTCTGTAGATTGCTTTGGATAGTATGGACATTTTATGGATTCTTCCAATCCATAAATATGGAATCCATTAATATAAAATATTCTTTAACTTATGATTGCCTTCTTCAGTTTCTTGCATAATATTTTATAGTGTCCATTAGAGAGATCTTTCATTTCTTTGGTTAAGTTTATTCCTAGGTATTTTATCTTATTTGTTGCTATCGTAAGTGGGATTATGTTTTAATTTCTTTTTCAGATTATTCACTATTGGCATATAGAAGTGCTACTGATTTGTGTAGGTTGATTTTGTATCTTGCAACTTTATTGAATTTGTTTATTAGTACTAATAGTTTTTTGGTGGAGTCTTTAGGTTTTTTCATATAAAAGATTATATAACATGCAAACAAGGATAATTTGATTTCTTCCTTTCCAATTTGGATGCCTTTATGTTTTTCTTTTGTCTGATTGCTCCAGCTATGACTTCCAGTACTATGTTGAATAACAATGATAAAAGTGTTCATCTTGGTTTCCTTTAGAGGAAAGGTTTTCAGTTTTTCCTGTATGGAAAACTGAAAAACCTTTTTCCTGAAAAAGGTTTTCAGTTTTTACTAGTATGACAGTAGCTGTGGGTCTATCATATGTGGCTTATTATGTTGAAGCACATTTCTTCTATACCTAGTTTTTTAAGGGCTTTTATCATGAAGGGATGTTGAATTTTTTCAAATGTTTTTCCACATCAATTGAAGTTGTCATATAATTTTGGTCCTTTGTTGATATAATGTATCACATTGATTAATTTGTGTATGTTGAACCATCCTTTCATCCTTCAGATAAATCCCACTTGGTCATGATGAATGATCTTTTTAATTTGTTGCTGAATTCAGTTTGCTAGTATTTTGTGGAGGATTTTTGCATCAATGTTAATTAAGGATAAAAACCTGTAGTTTTTTTTTTTTTAATGTGTCTTTGTCTGGTTTTGATGTCATGGTAATACTTGCCTCACAGATTGAGTTAGGAAGTACTCCCTCTTCCTCTATTTTTTCAGAATATCCTGCATAGGATTGGTAATAGTTCTTCTTTAAATGTTTAGTGAAACTCCGCAATAAAGTCATAGGGTCCTGGGCTCTTCTTTGCTGGGAGAATTTTTTTTATGGCTTTGATCTCATTACTTGTTATTTCTCTATTCAGGTTTTGGATTTCTTCATGGTTCCATCTTCGTAGGTTATATGTGTCCAGGAATTTATTCATTTCTCCCAAGTTTTCCAATGTTTGACATATAGTTGCTCCTAGTGGCTTCTCATGATCCTTTGAACTTTTGCAGTATCTATTGTCATGTCTCCATTTTAATCTCTAAATTTATTTATTATAGTCTTATCTCTTTTTTCTTAGTTGGCTAAAGGTTTGTCCATCTTGCTAGGCTTTTAAAAAAAGAACTTTTCATTTTATTGGTCTTTTGTGTTGCTTTCTTCATTTCAATATCATTTATTTCTGCTCTGCTCTTTATTATTACTTTTCTTCTACTAATTTTGAGTTTGGTTTATTCTTGCCTTTCTAGTTCTTTAAGATGCATCACTAAATTATTTATTTGATGTTTTTCTTCTTTTTTGATGCAGGTGCTTATAGCTCTATACTTTCCTCTTAGTATGGCTTTTACTGCATCTCATAGGTTTTGGTATGTCATGTTTCTCTTATCATTTGTCTCAAGAAATTTTACAGTTTCCTCATAACTTCTTCATTGACCCAGTGGTCATTCTGAAGCATCTAGTTTAATTTCCATATGTTTGTATACTTAACAAAATTTCTCCTGTTATTGATTCCTGCTTTTATTCTATTGTGGTCAGAGAAGACACTTAATATTATTAATTTTTTTGGAATGTTTTAAGACTTGTTTTGTTGTCTAACATATGGTCTTTCTTTGAGAATGAGCCATGTGCTGAGGAGAAGAATACTGTGTATTCTGCAGCCATTGGATGAATTATATCTATTAGGTTCATTTGGTCTACAGTGCAGAGTAAGTCCAATGTTTCTTTGTTGATTTTCTGTCAGCTCTGTCAAATGCTGAAAGTGGGGTGTGGAAGTCTCATTATTATTTTATTGGGGTCTGTCTCTCTCTTTAGCTCTTTAGTATTTCCTTTATATATCTCTATGCCCCAGTGTTGGGTGTATATATATTTAAAATTGCTTTCCTTTTTCTGAATTGAATCCTTTATCATTATATAATAACCTTCCTTGGCTTTTTCTATTCTTTTGTCTTGAAATTTATTTTTTTCTGTTATAAGTATAGCTACTCCTGCTCTTTTTTGGTTTCCCATTTGCATGGAATATCTTTTACCATGTCTTTATTTTCAGTCCATATGTGTCTTTATAGGTGAAGTGTTTTTCTTGCAGGCAACAGATCATTGGGTCTTGTTTTTTTTCCCCTATTCATCCACTCTATGTCTTTCAATTGAAGAATTTAGTCCACCTACATTTAATGTTATTGTTGATAGGTAAGGACTCATCCCTTACTCCTGCCATTTTATTATTTGTTTTTTGATTGTTTTGTGGTTTTCCTTTCCTTCTTTCCTTCCTTCCTGTCTTCCTTTTAGAGAATGTAATTTTTTTCTGGTGATATGTTTTAATTTTTTGCTTTTTGGTTTTTCTGTATCCATTGTATGTTTTTAGATTTGAAGTTACCATAAGTATTGCAGATAATATCTTATAGCCCATTATTTCAAACTGATAACAACTTAATACTGATTGCATAAACAAACAACTAACAAGGAAAAGGAAAACTAGTAGAAAATCGACACTTTAACATACTCTCCCTTCATTTTAACTTTTTGTTGTTTCTATTTATGTCTTTTTGTACTGTCTATGTCTTGAGAAGTTGTTGTAGTTATTAGTTTTGATTAGTTCATCTTTTTTCTTTCTACTTAAGAGATGAGTAGTTTATATAACATAATTATAGGTTAGAATAGTCTGTGTTTTTCTGTGTGCTTACTATTACCAGTAAATTTTTAACCTTCAGATGATTTCTTATTGCTCATTAACATCCTTTTCTTTCATATTGAAGAACTCCATTTAGCATTTCTTGTAGGACTGGTATTGATGAAATCCTTCAGCTTTTGTTTGTGTGGGAAAGTATTTATCCTTCATGTTTGAAGGGTATTTACACTGGATATACTATTGTCGGATAAAAGTTCTTTTTCCTCCAACACTTTAAATATGTGATTCCACTCTCTCCTTTCCTGTAAGATTTTCACAAAAAAGTCTGTGCCAGGAATATTAGAACTCGATTTTATGTTGTTTCTTTTCTCCTGCTGCTTTTAGGATTCTTTCTTTATCCTTGACCTTTGGAAGTTTGATTATTAAATGTCATGAGATAGTCTTCTTTGAGTTAAATCTGCTTGGGGTTCTATAAGCTTCTTGAACTTGAATATTGATATCTTTCTCTAGGTTTAGGAAGTTCTGTTATTATCTCTTTGAATAAACTTTCCAGCCTTATCTCTTTCTCTCTACCTCCTCTTAAAGGCCAATAACTCTTAGATTTGCTCTTTTGTGGCGTGTGTGTGTGTGTGTGTGTGTGTGTGTGCATAGCTAGCTGAGGTTTTATTTTGGGGAAAAAATTGTTTTGTAGCTGGATTCATGGGCAAGGGGGGTGCCATAGGCAGTAAGCTGCCCCTGCAGGTGGGCTGAAGGCTAGGGCTGAACCTCAGGTGGGTCTTGCATTCCCCTGCACAGCTGCCTCCCCCATGGGCTCTGAGACAGCTGCAGGATGGGTAGCCTGGGAAGGGCTGCCATGGCTGTTCACTTGGGCAGGACATCAGAGGACTTTGACACCAGCATCCCATTGTGGGTCTTGATCCTCTTCACAACCATGGCCCTGATGGAGCTGGTGCAACTAAAGGAGGTGGAGCCCATGCCAGAGCCAAAGCTGGAGACCAGGCCATAGCTGAGGCTGGGGCTTGTGACGTCCCCATAGGCTGAGCTCAGCCCACCTGCATAGCCACTGGTGGTCTTCATATGGATACTCATGTTCTGCATGTTCTGCATCCCCAACTCCAGCCAGCTCTCCATGCCCTCCAGCAGCTTTCTGTAGGTGGCAATCTCAATGTCCAGAGCCAGCTGGATTTCATCAGCTCCTGCCACTCATGCAGCTGCTGTACCATGTCCTGCTTGGCCCACTGCAGGGCGGGCCCCAGCTCATACAGCTTGGTGTTGGCATTCTTAACAGCCAGCTCCCCATGCTGCTCAGCATCTGTGATGACGGCCTCCAGGAAAGCCCTCTGGCCTTTGAGGCCCTCTATCTCAGCCTGGAGCCAGTTGATGTTCCCATTCATCTCAGAGATCTCCATCTTTGTATGACACAGGTCATCCCCATGCTTCCCAGCAAGCATCTCCAGCTCCTCATATTTGATCTGGTACATGCTCTCAGCCTTGGCCTAGCTGCATAGGCGATCTCTTCATACTGGGCCTTGACATCAGCGATGATGCTGCCCATGTCCAGGGAGCAGCTGTTGTCCATGGACAGAACCACAGACGTGTCCAAGATCTAGGACAGCTCCCGGATCTCCTCTTCATACAGCTGCCTGAGGAAGTTGATCTCATCAGTCAGCCCTTCCAGGTGAGACTCCAGCTCTGCCTTGTTCATGTAAGCGTCATCTACAACCTTCTTGATGAGGACAAATTCATTCTCCATCTCTGTACGCTTATTGATCTTATCCTTATATTTGTTCTTGAAGCCCTCCACTAGCCCCTGCATGCTGCCAAGCTCTGCCCCCAGCTTCAGGTTCTCCTGACCCAGAGTCTCCAGCTGCCGCTGAAGGTTGTTGATGTAGCTCTGTAACATGCTGTGCATGTTACTCAGAGTCATCTTCTGCTGCTGCAGAAGGCTCCACTTCGTCTCCAGCATCTTGTTCTGCTGCTCCAGCAACCATACCTTGTCAATGAAGGAGGCAAACTTGTTGTTGAGGGTCTTGATCTGCTCCTTCTCCTGGGTGCACATGGCCTGGATGTTGGGGTCCACCTGCAGGTTAAGGGGGCTCAGCAGGCTCTGGTTGACTGTGACAGCTGTGATGCCTCCCTTGCTGCTGGCCCCATCACAGCCTCTGCCCAGGCCATCCCAGAAGCTGCTGCTGCCCACTCGGGAGAAGCTTGAGAAACTGATGTGGACACCAGGCCCACTTGTGTAGGAGTTGCTGCTGAAGGCCCGGGGGCCAGAGGTGAACACCTTGTAGAACTTCTGGGTCACCCTGATGGACATGGTGGAGGCAGGAGTGGAGACAGGTGGCCTGAACCCAGTGGAGATACAAGGAAGAATGGATAAGCTGCTTCTCACGGCTGTTTTCTAGATCTTGTAGTAATGCTTCATTGTTTTTTATTCTTTTTTCTTTTAACTCCTGTGACCATATTTTCAAATAGCCTGTCTTCAAGCTGATTAGTTCTTTCTTCTGCTCTATCAATCCTGCTATTAAGAGACTCTGACAAATTCTTAGGTACATCAATTGCATTTATTAACTCCAGAATTCCTGGTTGATTCTTTTTTATTATTTCAGTTTCTTTGTTAAATTTATCTGATAGGATTCTGAATTCCTTCTCTGTGTTATCTTGAACATATTTGAGTTTCTTCAAAACGGCTATTTTGAATTCCCTGTCTAAAAGGTCACATATCCCTGTCTCTCTAGGATTGGTCCCTGGTGCCTTATTTAGTTTCGTGAGGTCATGTTTTCTTGATGATTTTGTTGCTTGTAGATTTTCATCAATGTCTGGGCATTGACACGTTAGGTATTTATTGTAGCCTTTGCAGCCTGGGCTTATTTGACCCCATACATCTTGGGAAGGCTTTCCAGATATTTGAAAGGACTTGGTGTTGAATCTAAGTTTTTGCTCACTGCAGCCATATCTGCATGAGAAGCTACCTCAAGCCCAGTAATATTATGGTTCTTTCAGACTCATAGATGTACCACATTGGTGGCCTTGGGTAAGATCTGGAAGAATTCTCTGGATTACCAGGCAGACTCTTGTTATCTTCCTTACTTTCTCCCTAACAAATGGAGCCTCTCTCTCTCTCTTTCTCTCTCTCTTTCTTTCTCTCTCTCTCTCTCTCTCTGCCTGTGCTGAGCTGCTTGGTGCTGGGTCAGATGTGACATAAACACCTCTGTGACCACCATTACTGGGACTGTGCAGCGTCAAACCTGAAGCCAGACCATTAATGTGTCTTCCCCCAAACCCATTGTAACTACTACCTGGCTACTGCTTATATCTTTTCAATACCTTAGGGCTCTGCAATAAGTAGATGGGAAGGATATCCAGGCTTTTGTCCTTTCCTTTGGAGAAGCAAGTTCCCCCAGACCCAAAGAAGGTCCAGAGATGTTGTCCAGGAGCCAGAGCCTGGAGTCCGAAACCTTACAGATCTACCTGCAACAGCTAAGCTGGCACTGAAACCACCAGACAAAGTTCTTCCCACTATTCCTTCCCCTTTCCCCAGGGAAAGGAGTCTCTCCCCATATACACCACCACCGCAGGCCCACAGGGACTTTTGCCAGAGTACCACTGATGTTCACTTAAAGCCCGGGGGCTCTTCAATTAGCTTTTGGTGAATGTTTTCGGGCCTGGGACCCACCCTTCAGGACAGTAGGATTCCCTCTGGCCCAGGGTAGGTCCAGGGTTGCCATCCAAAAGCCAAGTTCTGGAATCAGGGACTCTAATAGCCTGCTTCTGCTCTTTCTCACTGTGGCTGAGCTGGTACCTAAGCTCAGGAGAAAGTCTCCTTTGCTCTTCTCTCTGCTTTTCTTAAGCAGAAGGTTCTTTTCTCATAGCCACCACAGTGGTGAATGTGTTGGGTCACACCTGAAGCTAGCACATCTCAGAATCTCACCCTAGGCCTGTAGCATGTACTATCTGGTTATACCACTGCTGATAATTCAGAGCCAAATGACCCTTTGATCAGCAGGTGATGAATCTTGCAAGGACTATATTCTTCTCTTCAAGGCAGCAGGTTCCCCTCTGGCCCAGGGTGCATCTGGAAATGTCATTTGGGATATAGGGCCTGGAATGGGGACCTCGTAAATCTGCCTGGTGTCTTATCCTGCTGTGGCTGGGCTGGTATCCAAGTTGCAAGACAAAGGCTTTACTCTTCCCTCTCCTCTCCTAAGGCAGAGGAAGGGATCTCTTCTGGAGCGGTGAGCTGCACTGCCTGGGGCTGGGGAGGGATAGCACAGGCTCTCCCTTAGCCACCCAGGCTGGTGTCTCAATAGGTTGCATGCCCGGCAAGTCCACTAGTTCCAAGCCCAGTTCAGCACTAGGACTTGCCTCATAACTGAAGTCCTGGTGGCTTAGACTGCCTTTCGAGCTGATTTAGTACCCCAGAGCACTTTAGCCCACAGTGGGGAGGCTTGTTGAAATTCAAGTTCTGACCACTTAAATGTGAAATTCCCCTCTGGCTAGGGCTGGTCTAAATGTTCTCTACATGGGTGCTAGCTGAGTTTTGCCCAGTGTTGGAAGCACTGAGTCCTAGTATAAAGTCCCACAATCACTGTACTCTCCCTCCCCGAAGCAGACAGATTTCTTCTCCACACCACATGGCCAGCAGCTGTCGTGGAGTGGGAGGGGTGGTGTCAGCAATTTCAGACTGTCTTTTCTACCCTCTTCGGTGCTCTTTTGTCAATATGAAGTTGAAACCTGGTATTGTGATCACTCATCTGATTTTTGGGTCTTATGAAGGTGCTTTTTTGTGTAGATAGTTGTTAAATTTGGTGTTCCTGCAGGGGGAGATACTTGGTGGAGGTTTCTATTCAGCCATCTTGCTCTGCCTCTAACTGCCTATTTTATCACTACTTAAGGATAGAGGTTAACTTGTAATGGTTTTCCAGTACAAATGCAAACAGTTTCTTTTAGGAGAACCAACAAAATCCCAAAGATTTATCACCCTGTAAGACATTAACCAGATTAACCAGTTTTAGATCAACACCTTACCCCCTTGGATACATATTTATTTTGTATTTATATGAGTCCTGATTTTACCATTTTGAGTATTATGCTTTAATATAATATGGTTAATATAAATGTACTTTTTTATTTAGGTAATTTAAATTAGGCTTCTTTAATTTAGAATTTAAAATCACAGCACATAGAAAGTTACTCATTTCTCCCTATTTTAAATTTGTCCACATGAGCAGAGATCTTATTTGCAAGTTGCCAAATCAACTAAAATATATGCTAAATAATATATTTTTACAGAATAAAGGAATGTAAAAACTGAACTTTTCACATGTGAAGAAAATTTTATATTCATAGATGTAATTTTGCTTTTAATTTTGTTAAGTGCCTATATATATATGAAAGCATTGGCAAAATGAGCATTTGAAGAAATATTTCTATGTCATATTACTAATGCTGGCCAATGATGTAAGGTGTTATTAAAGTATTTTTAATTGATAAGGCAGTCCTCATCTTTATTCTGTCTTAAGATCAGAGCAAAACATCTCAGGGATGTTAAAGTGGAGAAAAATTTGTATGTTAGAATTAATGAAATATGGCATAACACTTGTCAGAGAAAGATAGGCATCATAGGAAAGATACAACCGAAGCTTTTTGAGTGCTAAAATGAGAAAGATTATTTTTGTCAGGGTGATCAGGAAGGTATTTCTGAAGATAATGGTAGCTATGGTGGACTTTGATAAATTTGGATTTGACAATCTGAACTCATCTATCAACATGACATATCATTACAGAAAATAGCAAGAACAAAGCATGCCTGGGAAATAGCAAGTACACAGGGAAAAACCTAGAGGATGCGCAGGGATTGTTAGAGACTGAAATGTGTTTCCCCAAAATTCATATGGACACTGAATTTAGAGATAGGACCTTTTAGGAAATAATCGAGGTTAAATAAGGTCATAAGAGTTGGGTCCTAATCTAATAGGACTGCTGTCTTTACAAGGAGAGGAAGAGACACAAGAGATCTTTCTCCAGGAACATACAGAGGAAAAGGCCATGTGAGACAACCATGAGAAGGTAGCTATCTGCAAGCCGGATGAGAGGTCTCAGTAGAGACCTATTCCAGTGGCACCTCAATCTTAAACGTCTAGCCTCCAAATGTACAAAAAAAAAATCTGTTAATTAACCCAACCAATCTGCGGTATTTTGTTATGTCAACCTGAGCTGACTAAGACAGAAATGTAGGAGGATGTAATAACACTAACAGTACCTACTACTCAGTGAATCTATTATTTGCTAACATGCACATTGCTTTGCATATAGCATCTCTATTTTTAAAAACCCCTACATGTTAAGTTTTACCTTATAGGTGAGAATATAAAGAAAGAAGAAGATTTGGCAGCTTGACCTCAATCACATAACTCATAAATAGTATAACAGAATTCCAAACTGACTTCAGCACACCCAGGGGCGTTCTGGGCTGGCTTGTATAAAATATTGAGTGCTGATTATGCAGATCTCTTCTCAAAGGAGCATGTTTGAAATCAACCACGGTTGAAGTATTCACACCTCAGAAATTGGCAAACACTAAAAATCAGAATATTTTTTCAAATAGTTGGTTGTTAAACATTCACCAGCATACCAGTGATGACGATACATTACCTCCTGCTTAAAGGAAAAGAAAAAAATCTGGAAAGACAGGTTGAAGTCACATTGCAAAGGGTTTAAATGTTCGCTAAATGTGTTTATTGTTGCTGTAGAACAGCATTAATTTATCAAAGTTTAGTTCCTTGCCAAAATATTATAGAATTATACTGAAGATTGTAGTTAATAAGCATTTTTTATTGCCTGTTAACAAAAGAGAATGAGTAATGGCTTATGTTCTCTGCCAAAATAAAGAAAGCATTGTGGAGTTTCCCATATTTAGTGCCTTTTTGTAAGCTATTTTTTTACTCTAATTTAGTCTCTGCCTTTATTTGTCATTCTGGAGAAATGTTATAAACTGAAATGGCTGGCAAAGCAGGTAGAAAATATAGTACTAGAGGGACATCAAAAACTCCTAGAAAAATTGTCACACTGGGTGTTAAAATGCAAATTTTATGAATGTTCAGGGCAGGTGAATGTTCCAGGAATTAGTGGAAAAAACAGATGGCAACAATAGCTTATGAGGCATTGCTACACATTGTTTTATAAAGAATATCATAAAAAATACTACAATCTGAGCAGAAGTAAATAACAACGCATGAATGGTGGTTGAAAGAAACTATGTCTCATGGCCAAATCTCAAACTCTAAGGAGTTAATGAGGAGGAAATATTAACTGTTTTTCTGCACATGTCCACGAGGTCTACACTCTAAAAGACACTGCATACCTCATTGTAAGGATCACACCCACCTTTAATGGACTTCATTTGCCTGTTGTTTTAATGTTGCGTGGTGGCTAAGGAGATTCTGATAGGGAAAGAAAATCATAAGTTGCATTGAGTGTTATTTTCTCCTGAGAGAAAAACAAGTTGTGGTAAGCTAAATGCTACTTAATGGTATGATAAACCCTAGTTTGCCTGCACTGTAACTCTGCATTGCACTTTCTTAAAACAGTCATCTGTACACATGGATAAGCATAACCATAAGATTATGATCAACCATAAAATGCAAAGGATTGCATCTTAGTTAATGTTTGACCGCCAATGTAGATTATGTAAGCTGAAGATATATGCTTTAAAGAACCCAAAACGGTCCAAAGGAATAAATAATACTATCAGTCAATTGAATACCAGCTTCTTAAAGGAAGCCGAAAATATTCTATAAGATATTATATTATAATTTATTTAATATATTTTGGTTACAACAAATATATTTTATTTTGATGAGGAAAATATAATCTTCAAAGAAATAATGGAAATAATCACATTAATATAATATAAAAATCTTCCAATCACATATGCTAATAGTTTATGCTAATAGTTTAAAATATCTCATAATACATTATCTTGTTCTGTCCACACTTCTAAGCAAAAACAAATTATAGAGATTATACTGTAACAATGAAACTCAAACAGAAATAACTGTTCTGCAATGTTTCATCAACCAAACTGTTTTTAATTGAAATAATATGGTTTTAAAACTTAATATACATATGATTTTAGAATGTTAAGTACTGAAGTCTTAGAACTTGGGGAAAATATATTTGAATATACAAGATGACATACCACCATCTTCAGTAATTTGATCCAATGATTTGAACAATAAAAACAACATAAACAGCATATGTATAATGGAACAAACATCAAACTGACCTCAGAATGCATCTTATAATACCAAACGATATAAGAAAATAAAGCAATATCTATAAAACCTTAAAAGAAAAAAATCAGTGCCCAAATCATACATCATCAAGTTGTAAATCATCTAGGTTCAGGATGCAGGCCAGGTGTGGTGGCTCATGCCTGTAATCCCTGCACTTTGGGCGGCTGAGGAGGGCGGATCACGAGGTCAAGAGTTTGAGACCATCTTGGCCAACATGGTGAAATCCCGTCTCTACTAAAAATACAAAAATTAGCTGGGCACGGTGGCACGTGCCTGTAGTCCCAGCTACTCAGGAGGCTGAGGCAGGAGAATTGCTTGAACCTGGGAGGCAGAGGTTTTAGTGAGCCGAGATCGCGCCATTGCACTCTGGCCTGGTGACAGAGCAAGACTCAGTCTCAAAAAAGAAAAAAAAAGATGCAAAGATAGAGTTCATGTTAATGATTAATTGGCAAAAGGCCTGCTAAAAACAGTATAAACACTAAACACAAAATAAAAATCAGGTATCTGTTATCCAGGTTATTCTTACTGAAAAGGATCGACTTTGAGCGTTAAACCGAATAAACATATAGACCTAAGCTAATTCTTTATACATTTGCATGCAAATTTAAATATTAGAGAAAATCAGATAAAGATTAAATCTTGAGTTAAATTAATGAAATTATTTAAATGGTTGGGGGTAGTTAAGTTTGGGTAGTTAGGTTCTGTCATTCCAAAACATGACACAAAAATATTATATTCCTAATATTTCATATAGGAGTTTCAACATTATTGTTTTACTTTCACATTTATATAAAAAATGAGAACATAAATTTTTAAAGCTTTTTAAGTAAAGAAATATTACAACATTATGACAAAGCAGAAAAGGGCTCCTACAATTTATTATTAAGAAATAATCCTATATGTGGATAATAAAATACATTTAGTTCTATATTAGACATTAGAAACTTGAATATGACTCCGTAAACAAAGGGGCAATGGTGACATAAGTATATTTTTCCACAGAAAACCTTAAGTATTCATTAAAAGTAATGATGAGAAATAATTTATAATAATATGAGAAAATACTTAAATGTTTGGATAGAAAATTCATGTGTATACTAATCTATATGTGCACACACATACAACATCCGAAGTACATAAAAATCAGCTACCTAAACTCTGTAAAATACATGTAATCATACATGTATTCATACATGTAATCATACATGTAATCATACATGTAATCATATAGAGTTGATTCCTGTCATTCATGGTAATTATGTTCTTCTATAAAATCGCCTCCAACACTGAATTACTGAATACTGTGCTACTGCTCCTGGGTGAAATACAGGGTTAGCTTCCTATAAGCCTCTGGTCATAACATTTTCATAAACCAATCAATATATAACCATGTTTTATGTGTATTTCTATTTAAAGACAGTATTTAATATACATTTCTTACAAATAATTATATGCAGTATTTCTTCATTATAAAACACTAGCCACAAAGGGCTTATCATTTTACCGGCTCTGGTTATGTGACTGTAAATTTCTTTGGCTTTTAGCCTCATAATAGTGATGTTTAATACACCTTTTTTATTGATTGTCATCCCATGATGACACAAATTTACCCATTTCTATTTTTTTTCTGTAGCTTCATCAAGCACTATAGGTGTCACTTTAGCACTTTCGAGAGTAGCTTCAGATATAAATCAACGAATTTCTTCTCCCCTTTCCTGGATATACCGTATTGTTGATTCATCGATGTTGAACGCAAGGTCAACAGCACTATAACACACACCCAAACGAAGCTTATCTAACACACATATTTTCTCCTCCTTACGACACATTAAGCCTTCTTGTGCTTAGGGACAGTAGGCTACAGCCCTATACTTAGAAGCCATTTTAAACCAAAAATCACAAACAAAAAGCACAAAAAATCGTTAAAGAACAGCACTAAATGGACCACAGAAAGGGCACTTCTTAAGGTAAACAGTTGAAACAAGAAGGTGAAGCATCACCTTGTTTGACCTCGCTGGGAATGTGCATCAGTGGGGGTGACTCAAAGTTTTTGCTGCTCCGTACATAGTCACAACTGACATTGAATGACCATTAAAGCACCCGGAGTATTGATTGTGGGGTTACAAATAAATTTTAGTGAGCATGCAAATTCACAAATATGCAACTTGAGAATGAGGATCAAATGTGTATATATATATGTATTTGTATGGTTGTGTACATATATATGGCATAGTTTATTGTATTTATATGTTTTCATATCTTGAAAATATAATTGGCCAAGAAACAGAATTAATAATTTTTCTATGAAAATCTTTTATTTACTTTTAAATGAAGAAAGAAAACTGACTCCTAATAACAACAAAAATAATAAATGCATTAAAATTCCTCTGATGGAAATTCTTAATGTTTAATAACTATTAATTTTCCTTAATTACATATTTAATTGGTTAATTCTAAACAAAATTATAAATAATTTATTTGAAAATAATTTAAAATATTTTAAAGATATCTGGAAAAATATGTAAGAAAGAGCCAAGCCATAGTTTCAAAAGAGGAGAATTGAGGCAGAATGTCCTGGTAAATGTGAAAACAAATTTTAATCTAAAGAAGAGTAATAGAGAAAATGGAGCATAATACGTAAACCAGGAACATGCCTGTTATATATAAGCACTTACTAAGTAATGAAGAGACATCACACCTTAGCAATAGAAAAGAAAGTCAGTCAATACATAATGTTAGGTTAATTGGGATTTTTATTAATTAATATGTATGTGTGTGTGTTTTCACATAATTTTACAGTTTCATCTCACATTCTGCTTCAATATTAATTGCCAATATTCTCATAAGTAAATGTTTCATTTAGAAAAAGTGACTTAAACCCTCTGCATGTTGGATCCTTCATTTGTGAAATGAGGTGGTGAATCTATCATTCTGTAATGTGATTGAAAACCTTACACTCAATTGTGTCCTGGAGCAGGCTCACAGGCTCATGAAAGCTAACTGTGCACCTCTCTTCCTAATTCCAATATTAGTGACAGCTAGTTGATAGCTTAACACTGGTCATTGTGGAAGTATTTACACCAGTGAAATTGGCAAATGCTACAAATCAGTCTTCTTCCCCTTGAGAAAATCAGTGTTTAAATACCAACACACCACTGCTTGTAACTTTCTAGATGATATCTGACTTACAAAATGTTTGTCAATTCAACATAATTTCTAATAAGTAAGAATTTCAAATAGTGAGAAGAAAAACTTTGTGGAAAATATGAATCTGTGAATTTTTATCTGCTATAAATAGAAAGTTAGAGATTGAGAATAGTATGTAAAGATATTTGGAATATAAAATGCCAGGTGTTGCCAGCTCAGGCATATGAATGATTCATGGCAGCGACACTCATCTCTGACTACACATTAGAATCATTGGAGCTACCTGCTGTCTGTTCCTCACTGAGGGTTATGATTTCACTGTGTGGAAATGAGGCCCAGACATCAGTGTTGTTTAACATTTCTGAAGTAATTCTACAGTACAGTCAGACTGTCTTAAGGTAGTGTAAACCAAAAATAAAGTGTTACTGCCTACCCCTCAACCATCTTAACAGACTGGACCCCTCCTCTCAGCTAAGGGCATTCCAAAGTTAACCTGAAAAATTAGTTCAGGCTGTGATGGGAAGGGGGAGCTGGACATACCTCATTATACCCTCTTCTCTTTTGGAACTGCTGACAGAACACTCTTTAAGTCTGATAATAAACACTTACAATCTATTCTCTCTGAATCCTGCTACCGGGAGGCTTCATCTGTATGACAAAACCTTGGTCTCCATAATCCCTTATGGTAACCTAGACATTCCTTTCTATAGATAATAACTCTTTCAATCAATTGCCAATCAGAAAATTTTTGAATCTGCCTGTGACTTGGAAACCCTGGCTTCCAGTTGTCCTGCCTTTCTGGACCAAACCAATGTACATCTTACATGTATTGATTGTTGCCATATGTCTCCCTAATATGTAGAAAACCAAGTTGCGACCCAACCACCTTGGGCACATGTTCTCAGGATCTCCTGAGGGCTATGTCATGGTCCATTAATCAGGCTTTGTCTCAGAATAAATATCTTCAAATATTTTACAGTGTTTGACTCTTTTTGTCAACAGTAGGCATGTTCTCTAACTATATAGTTAGGGGGCTTCACCTTTCAAGTTTCCATTTGTGCTGAGATATGTTTGAGTATGATATTTTGTTTAGTTTTAAAAGTTGCACTTAAAAAATTTGTCATTATACCTCTGAACTTTACAAATGGACAAGGAAGAATGGTATATGGTGAAGCTTAGTGCTTTCTTTAGCTATAAAAAAATCCATTTATTAGACTAGCAAATTAAACTATGAATAGAGAGTCCATGCTTCTAAGGCTGGTTGACAATAGTTTCCAAGTTAGTAGAGAGGAAAATTGGAAATGGGAAAAAATTCCTCAGCAATCCAATTGAAAACAAGAAAGGAGAAAAGTGAAAGATGTGTAGAAATAGCAACATTTTCAAAAATACTAAGATGGGAGAAAAAATCGAAAATATACCATCAATTACTATTACTATAAATGAATAAAACATGATAGTTAAAAGATAAGTAAGTCAGCTGGGTGTGGTGGCTCACATCTGTAATCCCAGCACTTTGGGAAGCTAAGGCGTGTGGATCGCCTAAGGTCAGGAGTTCGAAACCAGCCTGGCCAATATGGTGAAACCCCGTCCCTACTAAAAATACAAAAATTAGCCAGGCATGGGGGCACATGCCTGTAATCCCAGCTCCTCCAGAGGCCGAGGCAAAAGAATCACTTGAATCCCAGAGGCAGAGATTGCAGTGAGCTGAGATTACGCCCTTGCACTCCAACCTGGGCAAAAGAGCAAGACTCCTTCTCAAAAAAAAAAAAAAAGATAAGTAATTAATACTGAGTTAAAGAATATTCCAGTTGTATGTTACTGATGAGAGGTACATCAGAAATATAAGAGAAAGTTTTAGTCCTTCATTTGTTCTTTCATGTATTCAACAAATACATTTTTACTGAGCGCCTTTTTGTGTGTGTACTGGCCAATATTCTTCATTCCAGCAGTACCCTGCCTTCTTGGAGCTTCTGTTCTTAGAAAGTGGGGGTGGAGTCAAGGGGATCAACAGATAATAAACAGAATAATCATGATCTATAGAATATGAGTAGAGATTAGTGCTATTAGTTCTACAGACTTCTAAAGCAGAAGTCTATAGAAAAATTGTAGAGAGTGCAACGTTAAATTTTAAAATTTAATTTTATTAAATTTTAATTAAATAAATCATTTAAATTTAAATGATCAGGGAAGCATGACTGAGAAGATAAAATTTGAGTAAAGACTGAAAGCGAGAAGGGCCCAGCAGCATGGATAGTCCAAGCCAGAGCACTGCAGATAGAGGAACTGCCCTGCCTGGGAGCCCACCCAGATGTTCAAGAACTAACAAGGAAGGCTGAGTGAGCAAAGGAGGAGTAGAGATGAGGGCAGGAAGGCCATGGACAGATTGGGAAGAGCTTTTAGAGCCTTTGTAAAGACTTCAGCTTATATTCCAAGTAAAAGTATAAGCTATGGAAGTGTTTTGAGCGGCAGATGGGCCTGGCTTATAGTTTCAAATTCTCCAACAGCACTGTTGAGAATAGAGTGAAGAGAGACTGACCATTTAGGAGACTGTGGCATTACTCTATGTGAGAGAGGATGATGACTTATACCAAGAGGTACTGGAAGGGAGAGCCTACAGGATTTTCTGACAATTTTATGAGAGCAACCATGAATCAGAGATGACTCTAGTATTTTGGCCTGAGTAAGTGGAAGAATGAAGTCACTATTAACTGAGATGAGAAAGTTTTCAGGAGCTGCAGGTAAGAGTGGGTGAATGTGGGATTTTGAGGTTACTTCACTGGTGACATTGACAAAAACAGTTTGAAAGGAGAGATAAAGATTAAGGAAGCATGTAGCAAATTTGAAGAACCTAGGCGGGGAGGAATTAGAGTGAATTTATCCAACACAGTTTTGCTGTTTAAAAAATAGTTTTACTATAAAGGAAAGAAAAATAATGAGGTGATAGTGTGAGAGCAAAGAATTGTCAAGACATTTTATTCATGATATATGTAAAAGAATATTTGTTTACTGATGAGAAAAACCTCAGGTAGGGAAATATTTTTGTTGGAAACAAAATTCTTGGTTATTATAGGCAGATGTGCTACAAAGCTAATGAAGTTTAAGTTTCAGGGACCCTCAGTTTCACAGGCTACTCCCAAGGCCATAAAAGGTACCCGAGCAATAGGTTGACATTGTCGTATGTTCTCTTGCAAAATTTTCAAATGCAAGGAAATTTTAAACACAAATTTTTAATGGCTGATGTGAAACCTCAGTTCTTGTCTTCTTAATTTAAAAGAATTTAAACAAGAGACACACAGCAAAAGAAGTGCAAGATAGAGTAATTTATTAAAAAGGAAAAAAAATATTTTTAAAGTAAGTGCAGAATAGACAGTATACACTGTGTACTCAGAGAGAGGTAATGCAGGGCAAGCTGCTCATAAAGGTGAGACTGCAAAGACAGGCATGAGGAAGACAGCCTTTCTTTTTTTTTTTTTTTTTTTTTTTGAGACCGAGTGTCACTCTGTCACCAGGCTGGAGTGCAGTGGCACAATCTCAGCTCACTGCAACCTCTGCCTCCAGGCTTCAAGCAATTCTTCTGCCTCAGCCTCCCTAGTAGCTGGGACTACAGGTACATGCCACCGCGCCCAGCTAATTTTTGTATTTTTAGTAGACACGTGGTTTCACCATATTGACCAGGCTGGTCTTGAACTCCTGACCTTGTGATCCTCCCACCTCAGCCTCCTAAAGTGCTGGGATTACAGGTGTAAGCCACTATGCCTGGCCAGGAGACAACCTTTACAGGAGTCTTACACGATCATCCATAAGGAGGTGGAAAGAGGTATTATAGTAAGCATGTTCTGAGTGGTCTCCTGGGTACACATGTGCAGTAGCTGTACATGCTTGTTCATATATCACATGTTCATTAGCATTTTAAATCTTCACCCAGGGATTTTTTTTACCATTAAAAAGAGAAAAGGGTCACTTTGAGGACAGGTAAAATCAAAGTGCATATGGCTTGAATGAGCTCAATTACAATGCGAATGCTTAGGCCTACTGTGTTGGCTGTATGGTCACCATGGTTGCTACATCCTGAGAACACGGCTACTTCCTTGACCACCTATCCTGCCTCAAAATGATTAGGACTAGTATTTCTTCCCACTTCAGCATCCCGTCTAGTCATGTTAGGTGGTGTCAGAGTGGTCACCGACATTTTGGCAGATTAGTCTAGGGGTAGATATAATTAGGGAATACATTTGATTTGAGTTTAGCAAGATATGTTTTCGTAGTTGACAGTCACTGCTGCCTGATTCCATGTACAATGTCTTCCAGCAATCCTATCTCTTACCACAGTGCTGACTCACCTGGCATCCTGGCAGGATCAGAGGCCACATCTCAATATGAAAGTGACCTGCCATGCCCAGTACCTGAATTATGTTAGTAATGGATGAGGAAAAAGTTTACAATGTGTGGAATCAGAAACTAGTCTTTGGGAAATTCTTCAAATTATCAAATATTAAAAATTGGAGGTAGAGAATTTGCTTTTCATTGATAACTAGTCACAACACAAGTATTCTGTCTGGGATATACATGACAATACAGTCTGTAAAATTATGATTGTACCAATAAAATCATTTTTTATATATTCCTCTATTAAGGCAAGCTAAGTTATTTCTGACATTAAAGAAGCCAAATTGCTTTAATATTTTTAATCTTATAAAAATGAATAATTAAGAAAGTATACACTTTCTACTGGAATTAATGAATAGACTCAGCTTACTTGATATTCAAATTTATAAGAAGAAATAAATCATATGAACACATTGAAAACATTTGTTTCTTGATAGTTTACCACAAAATAAAGACATTGATAAAGAAATATGCAAGTTATAATATAATGATGTCATAAAAAATTGGATACTATTGTCCACTAAAAGAATACAGGTATTTAAAAGTTGTCACTCACAAGAGTAAGATTTTATAACTCATATGTGAAAAAAACTAATATTGCCCCAATTTGACAACAGTCTTTAAAAATACACATGACATTACCAATATTGAAGTTGAAATAAAATTCTCTAAAATTTTAACAATAAATTCAAAATCAATAATACTAAAAGAATGACTGGATTACCATTCTATTCCACTCTAATCTATTTAAATTATTCTAAAATTTATTCTTGGCATATGCAAAGGCAACCAACAAGTATGCAACAAAATATAGAAGAAAAAAAGCATTATAGAAACATACTAGGCTATTAATAAAAATATATTTTTGTTAATTTAAAGATTCTTATAGAATTTTCCAATTTTTTTTATATTTCAAGCATGTGGAGATTTATCTTAAATAAATATTCACATTTGTACCTAATTTTATATGTATAATTTTGTACTCTTTCCTAAAGAAGGCCTCCAAAATTTATAAGCTCAGGCCCCACAAAACCTGAATGTACTGTTTGCAAGTTGACTTTGAGAGGTTAAAAGTGACAAAGTTTAGACTACAAGAAGAGGAGTTTGTTCTCTGAAATTGGAGAGAGGGTAGAGTACACAGGAAAATATACAGGGAAGAGAGTAGAAGAGGTAGTGGGGTCTCCTAGAAGTTTTTCGATTGCTTGTGTTTTGTTAGTGAAATGGGAGACAAGGTGGTTAGCAGAGAATGAAGATAAGAAAGGTGTTAGAAGTTTGAGGAGTGAGGAAATGACGGGAAATCATTGCCAGAGTGGGAGAGTAAATGAGATAGGGAAATGTTTGATTCCTGAGCAGCATTAAGAGCCTACTTGAGGGTGGTGGTGGTGAGTTTAAGTGAGACCACTCAGCCTGCTCCTGTGATTTCCCTCTGTGTGGGAGGATGCACAGATTAGGAAGAGTGGCTTTATCTGTGTGATTTCATCAAAATGTGAGAGAGGACAGACAGTTGAAGACATATATCAGAGACTAATTAGAACACTTCGTAAGAAAGTTCATTTGGGTAAGATGGGGAATAAGAACACAAGAAATGGAGGAACAATCCAAAGTATCGATGGATTATAGGTCCTTGTGAGGCATAAGCAATGTTGAAGTTAAGTTATCAAAAATATAGTAGGTGAGGTATGGAAAGCTGGATGTGTCATAGAGAGAGTAGAGATGTTACCATTATTAGTAATAACATAGTCTAATATATGCCCTCTAGTGGTAAAGGTAGAATGGAGGGGAATGGAGGTGAGATCAAGACAATGGCCAGTATCCTAGAGTCAGTCATTAACTGGATATAGAAATCTAAAAGAATTATGACAGGAGTAATATTGTATAAAGTGGCAGTCAGCTAGGAAATCATATAGTGAAAGAGTGGGTACAACATAATGTTCTATTGATGACGGCAAATTACTTGGGATAATTTTGAAACTTTTTGGTTTCGTCTATTCCTCTAGACATTACCATAATGACCAGATCCACACAGGATTTGTAACTAGGGCTCAAGTCACATAACTCTCACTTCCTGTCCTCAAGAGAACCTACTTGGGAGCCCACAAATGTGCACCCTGAAAGTTCAAGATAGTTAACACTGGTGTGGCTTCCCTTGACCAATGAGGATGGCAGAGCTTTCGTTTCCTTGCTAACAGTTCTCAGATGCATTCATAAATTAATTTAGAGCCTACCACCAGGTGTCAAGAGTGATGATCAACTTCATAAGGCATCCCTGATTGGCTTTTCCTCCTCTCTTCACTCTGCTCAGGATTTCTTGCTGACATTCCCTGGAATCATTTCCCAATGAACCACCTGCCTGCAAGCCTTAGTTTCAGGCTCTGCTTTTAGAGGATGTTAAGATAAGCATGCAATTGTAATATTCTGTGACCAGTTTATATATGTGTATGTGTGTAGATAGAAATAAGGTCTTATAGTGATCACTTATGTTTTATTTGTGTACCTTTATAGGTTTCAAACACTTAAGAGAACCTGATATATTAGTCGTGTTGTTTCAAATGAATATTTGGGAGAATTTGATCAAATATGTTTAATAGATGGAAGATATTAAGCAGCAAGCCAAGTCATGATGGTTTCTTTAATAGGCCCCACCGCCTCACCATCACCACTAGATATTGAAGATTTTTTAACAATTCTAATCATTTTTTAAGGGACACAGGGAGGGTGTGGCCTTCCTTGGGAATTTTTAAGAGCCCTGGAGATAAGTAATCTGGGAAGCTGAGGATGGGCTCTGGGACTCAGAGCATCACAGTAGCATAGCCCGTGGCCTCAGGAATCCTGACGGGCGGGATGTGCCCCTCCAGTGGCCCCCAGTCATTCTGTGTTAACTTCAGTCTGGGTCTCCCATAACATGCGAACACTTCACTTACTCCTATCTCTGTCTTAGTGTTTTGAAAGCACAGGGCCTCCACTTTCCTGAAGCAACTGTTGAATGGCCAACTTCAATAGCATCCTGTTGCCTGTTTTCTCCAAAAGCCTGGATATTTCTCTTTATTCAACTTGCTCTCCCTTATGTGAGGAATCCCAGAAGAAAGATCCCAAAATCTGGTCACACTTCTGAGAGAGAAGAGACAGTTAAAATAATTTTTTTAAATTCATTTATAATGGCAAAATAACCAGTTGAAGATAGTTGTGTGGTTTTTTTGGGAATTATTTTAAAGTATTTATTTGAGAGAGATTCTGAGAAGTGGAATACTAAAGCAAAGTTATGAAAAAGTGCACCGTGTTTGATATACCCTTGCAAAGTGAACCTCTTACAGGTGCTCACAGAAGTCAATAAACACACTAGTTTGCCTTCAATACAGCTAGCATTATCTTTTTAGAGAATTCTCTGATTTAATAGTGAAAAAACTCACCAGAAAACCATTAGTCTCCTCTTTTACATTTGCTGCTTTTAAATAGTGATAGTCTGTAATTTTTCTAAATTATTTTATCCCCAAGCAAATGGAAGCTGCCCATTGTTTGTGTATGTTATCATTTGAAACAGAAATTACTGTTTAATTATATCATCATCCATTGAGAATAGTCATCTGAGCAATTTACAACCAGGGAGTCCTCATTGTCTGTAAAAGCCAAGTGTAATCAATTAAGTTAAATGCTTCAGTGAAGCTGAAAAAAATGCCCCCTAAATATTTCTTCTGATTGCCTGCCAAGATTATATAATGTATACATAGCTAAGGCAGAAATTTTAGAAAGAAAGCCTTTAGCAGATTGGTCTCCCTCTTAGTATAAGCAGTTAATAATAACCACAACACGTAATTAGTATCAGCCAATATTGACTAATAATATGAACTGTAGGTTAAAAGGATTAAACATCTTGGGTAATAAGTAGCAGGAAGTTTGTACTCCTTCTAAATCATGAGGCACGTCTGACTGGGGCAAAATTAAGTAAATGAGAAATAGCTAAAGCCACTTTCCATTAGTTCAACATTGAAACAGAAATGTTTTTGTGAATGCTCCAGTTTGTCTGCATCTGGTCACGGTATAATTGGGAGATCTATTAAAGTGTAAGTCTCTGAATGGTTCCATTTATATTTATAGAAGATTTATATGCCTAATCTTGATCTCCCTTTGAATTTCAGGTTTCCATATTTAATTAGCTACTGACTGTTCACAGGATACGCACATCCAAAATATCCAAAACTAAATTTTCACCTTTGAAAAAATTAAATTTTCATCTAAACCCAAGATATAAACTTGGGTTTCCTATCTCGTTGAGTTGCTTCACCACCTTCCTAATTGCGTAAGCTATAAGCCCCAAAACTCAGTTATCATCCTTGACTTTTTCCTGTAGCTCTGTCTATATGTTCATCCAATGGTCACCTTCTACCTATTCTAATATTATGCTGTCATCTAGAATTTATTGAGGATCTAAAGTGTGCTGGGCTAACTATTCATAATAGCAAAGACTTGAAACCAACGCAAATGTCCATCAGTGATAGACTGGATTAAGAAAACATGGCACATATACACCATGGAATACTATGCAGCCATAAAAAAGGATGAGTTCATGTCCTTTGCAGGGACATGGATGGCTGGAAACCATCATTCTCAGCAAACTAACTCAAGAATAGAAAACCAAACACCACATGTTCTCACTCATAAGTGGGAGTTGAACAATGAGAACACATGGACACAGGGAGGGGAACATCACACACCATGGCCTGTGGAGGCTGGGGGGCTAGGGGAGGGATAACATTAGGAGAAATACCTAATGTAGGTCACGGGTTGATAGGTGCAGCAAACCACCATGGTACGTGTATACTTATGTTACAAACCTGTACGTTCTGCACATGTAACCCAGAACTTACAGTATAATTTAAAAAAATTTAAAAAAATTAAGTGTGCTGGGCTAGTGCTCCACAGGCTTTAATGCATACATGAATTACTTTGGATCTTGTCAAAATGAATTAGCTACTAATTCTGTAGTTCTAGAATGGGGTATGAAATGCTGCATTTTTAATAAGTTCCCAGGTGATAGCAATACTGCTGGTCCATAGATCATACTTGGAGTAGCAAGTTGTTTGAAATCTTTTGGGAGCCATTGATGCCAGTGACCCAAAGTTTCTCTCCTCAAGCAGCTTACATTCTAATGAAGAAACACAGAAAATAAACAAATGTCAGAGGAAAAGAAATACTATGAAAAAAATAAAGCAGAGGGGTATAATATGAAGTGGGGGTAGAGAGTGGTAGTTGAACTATTTTATAGGGTGCTTGGGGAAAGCCTTTCTGATAAGGCAACTTTTGAGCTGAGACACATAAGAAATGAAGAGCTGAGCAATTTGGAAATACAGGAAAGGGGATCCCAGGCAGAAGTTGCCTGAGAGGTTCCATCTCTGCCACCAGAGTTGAAGTACTGGACCAGTGCCGAAGCCCTCCTTCCAAGTGTGCTTGTCTCTGACCCATTTTCTACACTGTATTCAGAATGATCTTTCTAAAACATACATAAGTTTATGTCTTTTTCTAAAGGCCTTGTTAGCATCCATTGCTCTTAGTATAAAATATGATTAAATCACTCTTTGTTAAGAGTGTCAAGTGCATTAGCTGTCCGCCTTTTCCAATACTACCATGGTGGAGTGAATAGTGGCTGGGTATTCTTAATGCAGGAAAGATCCTTTTTAACTTTTTTTTATTATTTTACTTTAAGTTCTGGGATACATGTGCTGAATGTTCAGGTGTGTTACATAGGTATACCTGTGCCATGGCGATTTGCTGCCCCTATCAACCTGTCATCTACGTTTTAAGCCCCGCATGCATTAGGTATTTGTCCTAATGCTCTCCCAATGCTGTCCCTCCCCTTGCCCCCCATCCCCCATTAGGCAAAGGTGTGTGATGTTCCCCTCCCTGTGTCCATGTGTTCTCATTGTTCAACTCCCATTTATGAGTGAGAACATGTGGTGTTTGGTTTTCTATTCTTGAGTTAGTTTGCTGAGAATGATGGCTTCCCTACATCCATGTCCCTGCAAAGGACATGAACTCATTCTTTTTTATGGCAGCATAGTATTCCATGGTGTATATGTGCCACATTTTCTTTATCCAGTCTATCATTGATGGGCATTTGGGTTGGTTACAAATCTTTTAAGTTTTAAATAACTGCTGGGTCATCGCCATTTTTTTAGACCCCTACCAAATCTTTTCATGCATTGTTAAAATGTCCACCTAAATCTAAAATATTTTTTCTCACCAATTTCTGTTTTTACAGGGAAAATGTAGATGGTTTCGAATCTGGATGCTTGCAACAAGAAGAATGCAAAAGTCTTTTTATATTTCAAATTTAAACTTCTCTGAGAATTGGATGAGCAACAAACTTAGAACTTGTTTAAACACTTGCAAATTCCCAAGACACTGAATTGTTGTGAGAAAATATGTTATTTGATTTGGTTCTTAGTAAGTTAGAAGCAAGTCCACTATAAATATCTGATCTATTCTTTTTAAAGTATTGTTTCTTTTACACTTTCTAATGTGCTTTTATATATGGTTGACTTACAGTTGTAGTCCTTAAAGCCAAGAAAACAAAAACAGTTAATGCATACATTTTCATAATCTTATTGAGAATAAGGTAACAGGCATGTCAAATCCTATATTGATATCCACGTAAAAAACCATTGATACTTACCTCCTGAATATGGAACAGGTTATTCTGCATAAGAAACCTACAGGAAGATGACAGCTTTGGAAAACCGAGGCACTTTGAGTCTAGTGTTTCTCCTATTCAACTCAAAATTTTCTCCACAGTATTTCAAGCGGGATGCTGGCCAAGTAAAAGAAAGTTAGGATCCTTTTTCTATGTAGTTTTCATATCACTTAGCAATTTAAATACAAAACACTAAATATACTCTATCAAAACACAAGGGTTAGAAATATCTGAAATTCATGAAATAGGGCTAAGAAATTCAAATGCTGACAAGAGCCAAGTCAGTCTCTCTTCATAGGAAATTTCAACAAAATACCAAAACAAACTAAGAAGAAAGGAAATTTCAACTTTAGACATATCAGGATCAGAATTCTTGGTTTGTTCCCTGCCTTAGTTATACTTTTCTTCTCTTTCCAATTCTAATTTAGTTTAATTAATATTCCAAAAAAAGTTATGAAATTATAATTTAATTCCATAATGTCGGTTGGTTTGCAAAAATTAGTGGCATAAAAAGGGTTTATTAGATTTCATGATGTTTTTCAGATTGTCTAGGGTCAGCTGGACCCCTCAGTTCCAGAGAGCATTACTTGAGGAAATTTAGGCAAACATATTTAGCTGGAAGTTGGACTATAGCTGCACCATCAAGTTGGCCTCAGTTACATGGCTGATACCTCAGCTAGGGTGAATGGAACAGCCAGAGACTGGCTGGTCCTCTCTCTCCAACAAGATTCAACTTCTTACTTGGTGCTTGGCTTTCAAAACAGCAAAAGTGGAAACTGTCAGATCTCTTAAGCTCTACACCCAAAACTGATATAGGGTCAAAGCAAGTCACAGGGCCAGCACAGATTAAAAGAGAGGAGTCACAGACCCCATCTTTTGATAAAGGAGAAGCATACATAGAATAGGAATGGGAGGAATTGCTGGTTCCCATTTTTGGAGACAATCTACCAAAAAATTACTCTCTCCCATTAGTTTATTCATTTAATGTAATTGTAAAATCAAACACATCTCCCTACCCTGTTAAAGAAATTCTAAACCTTATCAAATAAGTACGAAAATTCATTTGTGGCTATAGGTGCTTCCATGAACCATCTATTTCAGATACAGGTAAAACTGATCGCGCATCTAGAAAAGATTCAGAAATTTCTACAATTTACAGCTTAACTTGCGTTATGCATGTATAAAAAACTAAGTGAGGTTTCCACCATCAATTTTCAAAAACAAGCCTTATGCTTTATTCATGACTTATAGATTAATATAAGCTGAAGTCACCAAAAATAAAGTCTTTGGTTTATGCAGAATATCTTGTATAGTACAGAGCTATTACTTAAATTCAATGGCTCAGAAAAGCAGCAACATTTATTCTTCTTGTTCAAAAATCTATATGGGGCAGTTCTGCTTCAGGCTGTGGGTCAGCTGGGTGGGGCTCCAGGGTATCGGTGGGGCTCCAGGGAGCTCCACAGGTCTCATTCTGGGACCAGCAGCTATCCAGGGCATACTCTTCTTTTGACATTTAACATGAGCATAAGAAAGCAAGTAGAAATACACAGTGTTTCTTAAGACCTATCCATATTGCATATGCCTAAAAAAATCATTTGACTAAGCCCAACATGGATGGAGCAGAGCAATGCATTTCACGGACTCTAGTGCACTTCAAGGTCGTATGGCAGAGGAAGGAATTAAAGAATGGGAAACAATATTCCCATAGGCCACAATTAGTTTTGTCCAAATCTGTTTGCCCTTCTAATTAGAGTGGCAAATGTGGCTACTGATGCCTAATAAGATGAGGATGACTGATATTGATGATGATCTTGCATCAACTAATAAATATTATATAATCTTCAAGAATCTTAGTTATTTATGTTTTTTAAAATGTTTTAACACTGAAAAGGATTGTCTCTAGTTTCACAGACAAAAATTTCTATTGAACACATACTATTACAGTGTTATTTGGCATGTTATTTGTAATGTATAACATGTAATGTTATACATTAATAACGGTAATAGGATGTGTTTAATAGAAATTCACATCCTATTATTTCTATCGAACAGTGCCAAATAACTGACATGTTACTGTAGTTAATTAGAATTTCCTGCTCTACCAATATCCTATTTAATGCTATAATTCCTGTACTCCAAAGTCATATTGTTTAGGTCTTTCTCTATATTCACACTCTAAATTGTAGCAGAAGTAAATCCTAAGAAGATTTATTTTCTTTTCTTAATTTCAAATTTATCTAAGAAAATTCTAGACAATGTATTTTAAAATAAGCAAAGAATAAGCAATCAAAACTGCCCAGCATTTCCACTGAAGACAGAACAGTCATACTGAAACAACATTTAATATGCTTTTTAACTTGTTCCTTTTCCTCTGAATATGAAGCAAAACTCTGTTTAAAAACATTGAATACCTGTTTCAATCCGATAATAATTCATTATACATTTTTACTAACCTCTTGAATTATCTTAACACTTGTGGCCCTTGAAATGAAAGCACACAGATTAAGTTGAAGATAAAATATATAGTATTATTCTGTCTTCTGTATTAACAAACTCTATTCCCTTGAACTGTCTCTCTTGACATACTCAGATAAAATATTTGTATGCCTAGGTACTTAAAAACCAGGATCAATTGTATAGTAAGCTCTACTAATATTGTTTTGATTATACTTAACTGAATTTAAAAATCACTCTTTTTTGGAGACTGGGAGGAAACGAATTTAGGCACCACATAAACTGTAGTTTTTTATAGTCATCATTTAGCGATTACTTCTCTATACAATATGTTTCTGGTAGGAATTATCCTTTACAAATTAGATACATATTTCCATTTTAAGTTAAATGACAAAACCATCAAAAACTCAAGAACATAGTAACATATTAATAATAAAATAAATTATAAAATGTTATAAATGTTTGGAATACATGTACCTACATCAAAATGAGTCAACCTATTCTTTTGGTCTAGAATGTTCTTTCTTACCCTTGCTAACCAAACTTGTGAATCCTACTTCTTAGGATTAAGCAAACTCTCCATCTTTAAAATTATTATTGATTACATAGCCTCCAAATTTAGTTACCTTAAACAATCATCTATCCTTTTCCTGAATTCTTACAGCATTTATTCACTATATCTAATCTTTGGAACTTAGCTTAACTTGGTTTGTATTAGCAGTTCTCTTTTTTAAGTATATTACCTCTGCAAAAACACTATAAGCTCCTGCATATGAGTAACAGAGTGTTATAACTATTTGTATCCCCTGTGTCTCATGGGATATCCATCCAAAATTATTTGAAGTCTAAAGAATTCAGTATTAATTAATCAATTTTGATGTTTCATTTAATTATTTGTATAACAATTGGTAGAGAGCAATCACAAGCATATATTAGATTATTATTGTACTTTTTATTCATGCAATTTCTTTACGTAATTTGAAAGGAAAAAAAATAAATCAAACTTGTATTTTAGAATTAGGTTGGCAAGCCGGGTGCGGTGGCTCACGCCTGTGATCCCAGCACTTTGGGAGGCTGAGGCGGGCGGATCACGAGGTCAGGAGATCCAAACCATCCTGGCTAACACGGTGAAACCCCGTCTCTAACTAAAAATACAAAAGCAATTAGCCGGGCGTGGTGGCGGGCGCCTGTAGTCCCAGCTACTCAGGAGGCTGAGGCAGGAGGAGAATGGCGTGAACCCAGGAGGCGGAGCTGGCAGTGAGCTGAGATCGCGCCACTGCACTCCAGCCTGGGCGACAGAGCGAGACTCCGTTTCAAAAAAAAAAAAAAAAAAGAATTAGGTTGGCAAACCGTTTTGTAAAGGGCAGATAAGTATTTTGGATTGTGTGGGCCAGCCCATCTATAACACAGTTGTTCAACTCAGCTGTTGGTGTGAAACATTCATAGACAATACACAAATGAACATACATAGCTACGTTCCAGTAAAACTTTATTTACAAAATGAGTGGTGGCCTAGATTTGGCTGCCTAAAGAGTTTTCCTAGTGTGTTGTTCTAGGGTGTTGGTGAGAATATATTAAACTAAAAACATATATCTTATTTCAATTGTACGTAGAGATACAAGTTTATAAAGTAAATAAAGCAATATTCCCTCAGTAGAGTAGATTTTCCTTAAACACTTTCTGATATTCAGCAAAACTTATGCTAGCAAACATATATAATGTGATCTTTGGTACTGCAAATTTTGAAAATACTTTGCAGTACAGCATAACTTTGTTTTAAAAATATTATAATCGTTCATGTATTGATGGTTTCAGTGGTAAGATTAGATAAAACAATAAAATAAATAGTTGTTACATTTTTCTTGAAAATTGAAACAAATAATTATCATTTACTGATGATTCAGAGTTGATTTTAAACAGTTTCATTATGGAGTATAATTTTTTTTATTAATAAATAAGTACATTTGGAACCTTCTAAGCAAATGCCACTTTAAAGCTTTTCATAAATATCTGCCTTTATCTTAGGCAGATTTGCCCTGGAAACACACTCAATGTGTATTCTGGGTGCTCCTCTTTTGCATAGCTCCAAATTTTCTGAAGAAACAGATATATACCTTTCATCATCTCTGTATAATTCATAAAAGTACCCAGAAGTCAAGCTTTAACTTTTTATTTGCAGGTTTTAATAAAGAAAAATATTAAAATATGACTTGACTTTAGAAGTTGATTTTCCTGACAGCAATCAATAGTCCCAGCGAAATGTTAACAATTCATTTTGTTTTCCCTGGTTCAGTGTATCATAGTGCCACCTGCTGGTGTAATTAAAGAAATTGCCAGTATAATGGAGGAAAAAGCAAACATAGTGGGCATAGTATGAAAGTGGACCGTGAGAATCTAGAAAGTTAAGTAATGTACTGTATGCAAAGTACGTAAAGTTACTTTAGCTAATTTGAATTTTACTTTTTAAAAATTCATTTAAAAATGCAGTAAAAGTGTCCATCCAAGACCTGGAAAACGTTTGTAATAGCAAAAGTTTCTAATGAGGAGTTGACTTTAGGTACAAGAATTGCTTTTAATTCAACTTTTTGTTTGAAATTGTTCTAAATTTTTTATATAAAAGCATTTTAAGAATTTTTAAGACTATTTGAACGCAATTTGTGCGATGCACACTCATCAATAATAAACATGCCTTTAATCAATTTTCCATTGTATTTCCTGAGTCTGTGGGTGAATGATCACTGCATGCTACAGTCAGAGTAGCCTGCAATACAGGCCTCTCTCTTCCCCTCTCAAGTTCTCTAATTTCTTTTATTCATGGAAATCACCTAAACAATTAACAGAAATGTAAACCTGCATTTAAAATAAAAATAATTAGAATGGAAGTATTGGTGCCAGCTTACAAAAGGCTTATAATTTAACTCTAGAGTGTTTGTATGGGGAGAGGCCAGGAATGACAGATCCCTGCTTAGAAACTTTGTTTGTTTTTATTGAATAAATGAAATAAAAGTTTTACCACTCTGGATTAACTCTCAGCAATTGGCTCTTAATTTTGTTTAACTCATCCTTCCAAACATATTTTGGATAACAGTTTACTGTTCTTTTCCTGGGGCAGAAAAATAAAGTAGGGGAGAAATGGCAAAGCAGATGCACCCTGAAGGTGAAATTTTGTAACAGGCAAAGTTTATAAAGTCACGTTTCTGAGCGTTTTTCGGAGGGGATTCTAGAAACGCTCATGTCTTTATGCTGTGCTCTAGTTGCACAGTGCTGCCATGAAAACATTTAGTACTTGGAATATTTGCTGTCTCCCTTAATGTAGTCATCCATGTGCCTGCCATGAACCAAAGGTCACAGTACCCCTCTCTGCATCCTTTCTGCTACATAACTTGGATATTTCTTTTCTTGCTTCATTTGTAATTCTCTGGCTTTCAATACTTTTTTTGTAAGTGACTTAAAAATTTTTTAAAAAATAGTCTGGGTACAAAGCATAAATATACTCAATAAAAAAATTTACTGTAGGTTTTATTCTCTTGAAGACCTTTTTTGGGGAAAAATGATCAGTTTTACCAGTAACTTAAAGAATTATTGGTTGAGGTTTCGTGTGGTTGGTTGTTTTCAAAACCTTCTTTAAAATGAAAGGAGTAATAAGAATATGAGCATTTTATCTACCTAGTATATTAGTGCCAAATTATGGGAAAGATGCAAAGTCTTTGGGAACCTGGAGGTTCACAATCTGTTTATTGCTTTTTTGCTCCCTAATCAGAGCAGACCCTACAGGAATTTAATAATGAAGTTGCCAAGACAACTCTGATTGAAGTTTCTACTTGCCATCCAGACCAAAAAACAAACAAATGAACAATATCCAACACTCTTGTAGGCTTTCCTAACGTAAAACAAATTTAATGTAATTTCTATAGCAAAAAAAGTGATGTCTCATAATGCTTATATATTCTACTAAACTATAGAAAAACCATAACTTATCACCAAAACCATAGTAGCACGTACCTCTGTGGAGACATATCTAGACACTCATTACTTAACCTATATAGCGAATACTTTATACTGATCAAAGTATTAATATTCTTTTGAGGAGAAAATTCATATTGTTGTTCTGTGTTGCTTTATCATTAAATGATGGTCAATGCCGACCATCTGCTTGAATGAGCAACAGGAAAACTGTCTAATTCTATTCGATGATAATTTCTTGAGAATTTGAGTTGACATAACATTGAGAAAGCCTATTTTTATTTCCTGAAACAATTTATCTCTGTATATGTTTGCTAAAAGTGCTTTTCCTGTCTCTAAATAACTGTTTTAAGATATAGTTTCAGTCTGAATAGAAAAACTGCAACTCAAACCATCATGCTTAAAATTTTTAATTTAGACTTGGGGACTGCCTAGCCCATCCTTTGACACCCTACAATGTAGAACCTCTTAATAAATAAACCACTCTTGAGTACTGCATTGGGTAACTTTTGAAGATGCATGAATTACTGAAAGCTAGTAGAATGAGATTTAGTAAAAATGGATACTAATTTAGTAGAAAGTGCCTGCTTATACTATAGATTATTGCTGCTACAAAGATAATGACACATTTTCTGCTAGTGTTTTATTAATGTCCATTCTGATTAAATGAACATTAGTCATAAACTAATTCAAAGACAAAGACATGACTGTTACTTGCATAAATGCAACCATGGCTATGGTAATGGTAAATGTGAATGCCCAGTAAATGCCATGACATTCAAATTTCATAAATTGGAGCCATGGGAAATACAGTAGGTAGTTCTCAAGTAATGAAGAACCTGTTCTAGGAAATAAAGAGATTTAAGTGTAAGCCCATGATATAGTCCAGATATCTATCCCCTCCACATTTTATGTTGAAATGTTTCCCAATGTTGGGGGTAGGCCTGGTGGTAAGTGTTTGGGTCATGGGGGTGGTCCCTCATGAATGGCTTGGTGTCCTCCCTGTGGGAATGAGTTCATGCACTGAGTTGTTTTAAAGAGCCTGGCACCTATTCCCTTCTCTCTCTTGCTCTCTGTTGCCATGTGATATGCCTGCTCCCCCTTCGCCTTCCACCATGATTGTGAGCTTCCTGAGGCCCTTACCAGAAATGGATGCCAGTATCACACTTCCTGTGCAGCCTGCAGAACCGTGAGCCAAATAAACCTCTTTTCTTTATGAATTACCCAGTCTCAGGTATGCCTTTTTTAAATTTTTATTTTTCCATAAGTTATTGGGTTACAGGTGGTATTTGGTTACATGAGTAAGTTCTTTAGTGGTGATTTGTGAGATCCTGGCGCACCCATCACCCGAGCAGTATACACTGCACCATATATGTGTCTTTTATCGCTTGTCCCCCTCCCACTCTTCCTCCCAAGTCCCCAGTGTCCATTTGTCACATTCTTATGCCTTTGTGTCCTCATAGCTTAGCTGCCACATATCAGTGAGAACATACAATATTTGATTTTCCATTCCTGAGTTAATTTACCTAGAATAATAGTCTTCAATCTCATCCAGGTCATTGCAAATGCTGTTAATACATTCCTTTTTATGGCTGAGTAGTATTCCATTATATATATATGATGTGTATATATATGATATGATATAAGATATATATGATATGATATGGGATTTTATATATATATATATATATATATATATATATATCACAGTCTCTTTATCCACTCGTTGATTGATGGGCATTTAGATTGGTTTCACGATTTTGAAATTGTGAATTGTCTGCTATAAACATGTGTGTGCAAGTATCTTTTTCGAATAATGACTTCTTTTCCTCTGGGGTAGATACCCAGTAGTGGGATTGCTGGATCAAATGGTAGTTCTACTTTTAGTTCTTTAAGGAATCTCCACACTATTTTCCACAGTGGCTGTGCTAGTTTACATTCCCACCAGCAGTGTAGAAATGTTCCCTGATCGCCACATCCATGCCAATGTCTACTGGTTTTTGATTTTTTTATTATGGCCATTTTTGCAGGAGTAAGGTGGTATCACATTGTGTTTCATTTCACATTTCCCTGATCATTAGTGATGTTGAGCATTTTTTCATATGTTTGGTGGCCATTTGTATATCTTCTTTTGAGAATTGTCTATTCGTGTCCTTAGCCCACTCTTTGATGGGATTGTTTGTTTTTTTCTTACTGATTTGTTTGAGTTCATTGTAGATTTTGGATATTAGTCCCTTGTCAGATATGCAGGAACAGTCAGCAGAGTAAAGAGCCAACCCACAAACTGGGAGAAAATCTTCACGATCTATACATCTGACAAAGCTATTCCTTTATAGAAATGCAAACAGACTAACACAGTTCATTTTCCTACCTAACCTGCTTTTAGTATATGAAGTTTTAGTATACATACTTAGTATATAAAGTTTTAACACCTACTCACAGTACTTGCTATTGACATTATAGTTAAAATTAGACTTCACCAAACTTATAACAGCTTATGACGTTGTGGTAAACAACCCTTAATTCTGAAATGACTTAAGTGTTTTCTGATCAAGGTTTTTGTCGTTTAAAACTGCCAGTTACCCTAGGTAAATATGCACATTAAGAATGGTATAAAACATTTTTACTATGAAATGGAGTATTTAAACAATTTTCTTATTAATACTTTAAACAAATCTTGATACAATACAAATTGTATTAATGTGACAATGTTAATAGATTTTCTCTTGTGCCGTAACTATCCATTCTATAAATATACTTTCTCTCTGACATCTTCTGTATCCACAAATTGTATACTTCCTGGGTTACATTTGACATATGACAATGCTATAGCAATATTTGCAATTTAAGAGGAAGTTGCAAATAATATTTCAAGCAAATGTGTAGATGGGCTATATAGCCTATACTAAGATGGTCTTAGCTTATGAAAAGGGATTAAATACAAGCTTTGGAAGATGCTTCATTTTAAGCACTGTATTTACAGGGTAAAGTTGTAGGATATCATGAGCACATTGGTGGACTGATATTTTTACTTCAAATTCTTGTTTCACAGTGACACTTCAGCTTAAGCTTCTATTATCAAGAGTTTACTTATTATCTTATTCCACTTAGAGAATAGTGGTGTGGCTACTTGGAGAAGAGAAGACTTGCAGGCAACTCTTAAGCAGAACTCAAGGACTTCAGAAAGGATGAGCATAAGTGCTGAAGAAGGTTCAGTCCACACTCGGAGCTCTTCACCAAAGATTTCTGTGTTATTTAGAGATTGCTATTCAGACAACTTCCTTTGGCTTGTATATGCCCACTCCCAATGTCAAATGCACTGTTACCCTTCCTGGATGCAGCCAGGAAGCAACTCTCAGACCACAGATGCTTCTAAAAGGCCCAGGATGAGGCTGGGTCCTTGTAATACAGTAGAGAGGTCAAAAGAAAATGTGGAATAGGGGCGGCCAAAAGACTCATAGGCTCCCATCTACAGCAGTCTCTGTAATGTTTGTTTCTTTGAAATATCCCACCCCACAGAATTTATCACTCACTCTGTTTACTTCAAACTTCTTTTTTAAGAAAACTGTCTGAGTTTTAGCCTCCAATTACTGATTTCCCTTCATTACTGAGTAATTTAGTTTTGTATTGAATAGCTCTTGATTTTTCCTGACCAATGTCTTTATTTTCTTCTTTAATTTAACCTCAATATTTCTTTGGGTAACTATACCATCTGGTCATAGAATATAGATGTCAATCAAGATAGTCTTCTTTCCTTCAGTCTAGTCAAATGAAAACAACTCAGTTCTGCAGACGACCATGCTGTTTCTTGTGTCTTCATCCTTACACTCCTCTGCTCTCTTTGTTTCTTCTATTGGTATATTAATATCTCAATATCTAGCTAAAATGTCACCTACCTACTATGTTATTAAATCTTCCACAGTTTGCTCCCCCCTCCCATGACCACACTTGTAAATGCAAATGAATTACTCTTTTCTCAGTAATCCTTAGGTGTGATGTATGTAATTATATTATAGTCTTGCCTTGTTGCATTGTTTAGTTTTGAGGTTAGGACTCTCTCAAAATCATGAGCTTCTTCTTAGTAGGGCCTGTATATATAGCCCTAGTGTCTTATAGTGTCTTACATGGTTGGATCTCAGTAAAGCCTTCTTATTTTATTAACTGATTAGCAAGTTGGACTACATGATCTCTAAGGTGTCTTTCAACTCAGTGTTAAGTGATTCTATTGAAGATGTGAGAATCTGGCTGTGAAAGAGTAATTAGACTGGCTATGTGAGCACTGAGGGAGAACTCTTATTCCAGGTCTCTTTAGACCAGTTCAATTTCTCCAAAACAATGAAATAAACTTTTCCAGCAACAATGAAGGAAATAGTATTTCTTGTTGGTTAAAAAATATCCTAAACTCAAGCAGGGACAACATCTTATGCATCTCTGCTTCTCTCCCAACCAAGAATCACAGTACCCAGTATGTTGTGTATGTTTAGTAAATAATTATTGAAAAACTTAGTTATTTTCATTTCTTCAAAATTATCTCTCTGTGGAAAAAATAGTTTTGTAGAACTGATATTTTATCTATTGAAAGGTATAATTGAAATACCTCTGGAATACACTTGCAAAAATGTTTGGTAAATAAATATAGGCATGTTGTATGAATGTTTTAGCATATTTCAACTTTGAGAATGAAATTCTGGAATTCCTAGGACATATAAAACACTGTTTATTCTAAGCCTTCTCCAATTGCCATTAGTTTGTATCTCTTTTTATATATGGGTTTTAACTTAAATATATGGATAGTGTGATCTAGTATATATGTTCCATTATTTGCCTTTCCTGTTTCCCACTGTCAGCCCTCCATCTCCCAGTTGAGGCCATCATCACACCATATCTGGATATTTATGGTTCCCCTCGATGCTTTTCCTCTATTCTAACTATTCCCCTTCTAATCTTACATTCTTACTTAAACGATTCATAAACTTCTCCTTAAATCAGAAAGCCCTTTTAAAAGTTTTCCATAAAAAAATCAAAATTGATAAATTGATGAATTACCTGATAAATAAGGTAATTTACCTTATGCTCAATATTGTGACATGAAGTGGATTGTTTGATCAACTAAGACTGAATGCACTTGGTAAAGACAATAGAGCCAGATGACAAAAAACAGATAAACAAATAAGAAACAACCCATTAAGTCATCCCAAAATGTCAATTCCTTAGAGTTGTTTTCTTTTGTTTGTTGTTTCATTTTGTTTTGTGTGTTTTGCATTCCAGGTGAAGAAGGTGTGGAGAATATCAGTTTCTAGAATAACATCCTGATTCACCAGAAAACTGAAATTTTTATTTTATGTTGATTGATTGATATAATTGTTGAATTTTCATATCTGTTTTATCATCATTTTAGAAAAGAAAAAATACAGTTTCTAAGAATTCTAGTGTTTATTTACAAAATTTTAAACTATTAACATGGTTCAGAGTACTTGTCGAAAATCTCTATGAAAGCTCTTTATCTTGCTTTGTTTATATTTCTATAATGAGATTTATTGCCTATTCCATTAAATATTATTTTAAAACATTTTTTCCACTGCTGCATTGTATTCCTTATATGTAAATACTATTATTTATTTCAACATTCCCCTATCATCTGACTTTTTCATTTCTTATTAAGAAAATAATAATTTTATGAAAACACTTATACAGAAATATGTGTTGGCATCTCTAAATATTTATGACACATTTCTATGGGCAAGAACTCTACATTAACACTTTGAGATTCATCATCATATTGATGATGATGCCAAATAGATGTATAGATACGTAATACCAATTTGTAGCTCCAGTGGTGCAATCAATTAGCATGTGGTACTTATAAGAAATGCAATACAGATTACATTTCTACACAGAGTTATGAGAATAACATTTTCAATTTGTTATCTTTTTTATTCTTTCAATCTTAATATATGATCAATCATATCTTATTGTTATTATAATTTTTATTTCTTTGAGTATTAGTATAACAGAATATTGTTTATATTGTTTAATGACTATGTGTATGCTTTGTCAGGGTTTCCTTCCTTGTTATATCTCCAGGGCCTAAAACAACCTGACACATAGTAGGACATGAACATACTTTAATTTGTTATTAACTGTATTTTATATCTTAATTTATTTTCAATTGTATTGTATTCCTAATGTATAAAAAACTCAGACACTGACATATTTAGCACCAGATTTAATAGTTGTTGACTTTGTTTATTGCTTAGATTTTCCTTTTTTATATTTATTTTATTTTATTTTTTTTTTTTGAGACAGAGCTTTGCTCTGTCGCCCAGACTAGGGTGTGGTGGCATGATCTCAGCTCACTGCAACCTCAGCCTCCCAAGTTCAAGCCATTCTCCTGCCCAAGCCTCCGAAGTAGCTGGGACTGCAGATGTGTGCCACCACACCTGGCTAATTTTTGTATTTTTAGTCGAGACAGGGTTTCACCATGTTGGCCAGGCTGGTCTCTAACTCCTGACCTGAAGTGATCCACCCACTTCAGCCTCCCAAACTGCTGGGATTACAGGGATGAGCCACTGTGCCAGGCCCAGATTTTTCTTTTTTAACTGATCCATTATATTTTACATTTTTATGGGTAAATGTGGGTATTTGTTACATGCTTAGAATGTAGTAATATAATGTATTAATATAATGATCAAGTCAAGGTATTTAGGGTAACCATCACTTTGAGTATTTAGTGTTTCTGTGTGATGGGAACATTTCAAGTTCTCTCTTCTAGCCACTTTCATATACAATACATCATTGCCAACCAGTCACCCTACTCTGCTATTGAACATTAAACTTATTTCTTTGAGGCCGAGTGCAGTGGGTCATGCCTGGTAATCCCACCAGGTTGGGAGGCTGAGGCAGGAAGATCACTTGAGGCCAGGAGTTTGAGATCAGCTTGGCCAACATGATGAAACCTCGTCTCTACTAAAAATATAAAAAATTAGCTGGGCATGGTGGTTGGCACCTGTAATCCCAGCTACTCGGGAGACTGAAGCATGAGAATCACTTGATCCCGGGAGGTGGAGCTGAGATTGTGCCACTGCATTCCAGCTTGGGCAACAGAGTGAAGCTCTGTCTCAAAAAAAAAATCATCTAACTTTATGTTTATATTCACTGACCAACCTCTCTTCATCCACTCCTCAACCCACACACTCTTCACAGCCTCTGGTATCTATCATTCTATTCTCTACCTCCATGAGATGAATTATTTTAGCTCTGATATATGCATGAGAACATGCATTATTTGTCTTCCTGTGCCTGAATTATTTCACTTAATATAATGACCTTCAGTTCCATTCATGTTGCTGCAAATGACAAGATGTCATTCTTATGGTCAAATGGTCATCCACTGTGAACATATACCCCATTTTCTTTATTCATTCACCCATTGATGGATACTTGGATTAATTTCATATCTTTGTTATTGTGAATAGTGCTACGAGAAACATGTAAGTGCTGATATCCCTTTGATATACTATTTTTTTCCTTTGAATAAATACTCAGTAATGGGATTGCTGGGTCGTATGGTAGTTCTATTTTTAGATTTTTGAGGAATCTTCATATTGTTTTCCATAGTGGTTGTACTAATTTACATTCCCACCAATGATGAAAGAGTTCTCTTTTCATCCTTGCCAGCATCTGTTGTTTTGTCTTTTAAATAATAACCATTATAACTGTGGTAATATTATATCTCATTGTGGTTTTGATTTGCATTTCCCTGATGACTGGTGATGTTGAGCATTTTTTTTCATATACCTTGTATTATTTCATTTTCACATTACTGATAAAGACATATCCAAAACTGGGAACACAAAAAAAGATTTAATTGGACTTGCAGCTCCACATGGCTGCGGAGGCCTCAGAATGATGAGGGGAGGTGAAAAGCTTATCTTACATGGCAGTGGCAAGAGAAAATGAGGAAGAAGCAAAAGCGGAAACCCCTGGAAAAGCATCAGATCTAGTGAGACTTATTCACTATCACCAGAATAGCATGGGAAAGACCGGCCCCCATGATTCAAATACCTCCCCCGGTTCCCTCCCACGACACGTGGGAATTCTGGGAGATACAATTCGAATTGAGATTTCAGTGGGGACACAGACAAAACATATCATACTTGTTGGCCATTTTTATGTTTTCTTTTGAGAAATTATGCGTGTCCTGTGTCCACTTTTTTGTACTGTTGAGTTGTTCAAGTTCCTTGTATATTCTGGATATTAGTCCCATGTTGGATAAATAATTTGCAAACATTTTCTTACATTCAACAGGATACCTATTCATTCTACTGAATGTTTCTTTTGTGTGCAGAAGCTTTTTATGTTTCATATAGTCCTATTTGTCTATTTTTGTTCTTGTTGCTTGTGCTTTTGAGGTCATAGCTGTAAAACCTTTGCCTAGACCATTGTTCTGAAGTATTTTCCCTGTTTTCTTCTAGTAGTTTTACAGTTTCAGGTCTCATGTTTAAATATTTAATCCATCTTGAGTTGATTTTTGCATATGGTGAGAGATAGGGGTCTTGTTTTATTCATCTGCATATAGATATCCAATTTTCTCAGCACCATTTATTGAAGAGACTGTCTTTTGCCCATTGGATGTTCTTGGCACCTTTGTCAAGTATCTATTAGCTGCAAATACATGCATTTATTTCTAGATTCTCTATTATGTTCTATTGGTCTATATGTCTGTTTTTGTACTAATGCCATGCTGCTTTGGTTACTATGACCTAGCGATATATTTTAAAGTCAGATAGTTTGATGCCTTCAGCTTTATTCTTTTTACTTGAGATTGCTTTGGCTCTTTGGGGTATTTTGTGATTTGCTTGGGGCCTACTGTTCTTGAATCTGAACATTATCTGTCAGGAAATCTAGAAATTTCTTTGCCATCATATATTTGAATATTGCTCCTCCCAGATTTTATGTTCTTTTTCTAGAATTCCTATTCATAATATAATAGACCTCATGTTATACCATCTCTTAAATTTTCTAGCTTATTTCACATTTCTTTATTTCTTTGTACTTTGTTGTAAATTATTCCCACAGATATAAATAGAATTTTTTACATTATTTCTTCAGTTATATCTGTTTATGCTATCTACAGAGTTTTTCATTTCACTTATTTTATTTTCATTTCTATATTTTCAAGTTGGTTTGTTTTTAAATGTACATGTTCTTTACTTTAGTGCCTATTCTTTTCTTACAGCTTCCAGTTTTTCTTTTAGACCTTATTTATTTTCTAGTTTATTTTGAATAATATTTACATTAGCTCAAGTTCTTGGGCTGCTCAGTCTTTAATTTGTTGGTTTTGCACTCTTGCTCATGGTGGATTTCTTACTCATGTGATTTGTCATTTTTAGTCATGAGCTTTATTTTCAGTAGTGATGGTGATTGTGCAGCTGTGTGAATCCCCGGTACTTAGCATTATGAGTGAGTCCTTCCAGTTGTCAAAGGAGCATGACTATGACTCTCACAGGAATAGTTTTCATGATTATTTCTTAGAGTGAAAAATACCTCTTTTCTAGAAAAAGTATCAAGGGAAGCTTTTGTGTTTTTTTTGTTTGTTTTCACCAGCAGCCCAGGCAGAGATAAGCTTTTTCTTGGTGGTTTTTTGTTTGTTTTGGTTTTTTTTGTCATGTTTCTTTTTCTCTGTTAGCAGATACTTTTTCTCTAATTCTTTTTTCCAGTGAGAGTGCAAGCTTTAGAAGATGATGTAGCAATTGAGCTGTCTAGAATCCAATTGTTCACTTTGTATGGATCCATGCTTTTGTTTCCTGTACATTAAATGTGCGACTAAAACCCAAGTCGCTAACTATTGCTAAGCGAGGCATTTGTTCTACCACACTAGTAAGCCAGGTGTGGCATAGATTCACCAACATATTTACCCACCTTTTCCCTGATATATGAAGATTTCTGATTCTCTTTTTTCTTTTATTTCCCCCCTTTTCTTTGTGGTTTCTTTCGTGTGTGTATGGGAGCCCAGTTATACATTTAAACACTTTATTTTATACATCATTCCTCTTGTGGCAGAACATTTTCTCCATTAATAAGACTGTCATTTTTTCAGAGCTGAAAGTGTTAAAATTAGTATGTTTATGGTGATTTTAGTGTATAGACATTTTTATATGTATATATGTATGTGTGTATATATATATATATATATATATATATATATATATATATACACACACACACCCACACACAAATCTATATGTCTTTTCCAAAAAGAATCCTTATTTTTTTCTTTACAGGTCAATTTTCAAGATGAGATGAAATAATCTCCTATAAATTCTACTTGTGTAACTGCATTTTTATAAAATACATTTTAGTCTATGTGTGCTTATATGGTCAGAACTGAAGCTCAAAATGTTTCTCAATGTAAGCCAAGTGTCACAGTACCATTTATTAAATAACATTTTTTCCTACTCATTTTAAGAACATTTACATCAGAAACTAAATGTTTACAATGAGATTTGTATAAATGATTTTGAAATTATTAGTAGAATTTAATGAATTATTATAAATATGAAATATTAATTACTACTTTATTAGAAAAAACTCCATTATAATGTTTTTAGGTTAACATCTTGTCTTCTCTGTCTTATGTTTCAAAGTATTACAAGTGACCTTTAATAAGTGCTAGGCTTTGATTTGAATATGTTGATGAAATCACTTGGTCTGCAAGATGTTTGATAGAAAAATGAAACCTTAAACTACCGACCATGTTTGAACAGATGATGTTTTTCTGTCTATCGCATCAATATTCATTAAACAGAAGTATGTGCCCAAAGTTCAGGTATGAATAAAAATGAAAAGGATTTTCTGAGTGCTTTCACGTTAATCTCCATTTGGTCATCGTTTCTCAACATCATTATGATTTGTACTTTGTTCTTCAACACAAAAGAAGCAATTAAAATATTACAAAGCCCCATGAACTCTAAAGAACTTTTGTTCTCATTACTAGTCATTTTTAAACTAGAATTTTGTAGTTAGCTTTACAAACTTGCGTAATTGACTAATCCTAAGAACTTGTTCTATGCATTCTATTTTCATCCTTCCCATCTCCCTAATTTTTCTCTCCAAATTACGAATATCAAGCACAAATAGAGCAGATACTATAAGTAATAATTTAAGAATACAAAACCAAAATACTTTATGATATTTTCCTTTATACCATCTCTATTACAATAAACTGAATTTTCTGTATGGTATATTTTTCTTTTGCATATGGCACATATGAAACATGAACACTATTTTCTCCCGCACATGTACCGTGTGCATGTTCCTACCTACCATGACACACACATGGGCCTTTTAGATTTATGGTAAATGGTCAATCTTTCTCAGTCTCTGCACCTTTCTTCCCTGGACCCCCTCTTCTCTTCCTTATCCTTTTCTTTCCCCTCACCATCTCCAGTCTATTTAATCCCTTGAAAGTATATAGAGTTAAAGTAAGACAAGTTAAGGTACGTGTTTATTTCACTGTGTATTAACTAGTCAATACACAGGCTTATTAAGAGGGAATGTATTTTAGAAAACATTGTCATGTGTTTTTATATTTTGTAAATATTATCAACTTTTTAACTATTAATCATTTGTAACTTCTGAATCAGTTTTTCAATTTTTCATTAGAAGAATAATAACTATTTATTATGGCATGTAATGTGCTTAAAAATAATCTTACTTCATAGGATGAAGTAATTAGAAGATTCTAGTCACTTCTGACTTTATAGTTCCTTACCTGACTTCATGAAAACTCACTTTTTAATGTTCGCTTATCTGTAGTATCTTAATAATATCAATGTCATTGATTTAATTTATTTTATGCATTTAAATATATTGTCTACAAACATTTTCAGGTCAGCTGTTTTACTCAGATTGATTATTTATCATCCTTTAAAATTCAGAATTTAACTAACCTAGTTTTTAAAAAATTCTGTCAGAGCACTTTGTTTACATCCTACGTGTTCTCTGAGAACCGTGAGAAGAACAGCTTTAGCTGCAGAGACAGTTCCTGCAGGGCACAACGTGGCAATTTTCATTTGCAGAATCAATGTAGTATAAGGCAGGTGTCTCAGTGAGAGAAATTATAATTTTATTTACCTGTTATTGAATCTTTCAATTTTTCTTAATTAAACTTCCAGCCTCCTGTCAAAAGTAATGTTATTATATTTATTTTATTCAGAGCTTTATTATCTAGACAGCAATTAATCACATACACACACATATATACACACACATGCGTGCACATATATATACACACATATATTCATACCTACACATATACATGCATATTTCATTGCTATTTGGGACATAAGAAAGTATTCTCATATAAATTTTCTTTAATCTGTTCTCTCCATTTTCCCCTGCATAGAGGACAGCATATTTCACTTCCTCAGCATGACACTTAAGAATTAAGCTTGAGTTTATCACTACATTTAATTGCACAATAATTGTTCAGTTCCTGCACTGAAAGAATTTTAGTACTTGATAAAAAAGTATGTGGGAAGATTATGATTTTTGAATTAAATATAAACCAGCATATTGAATGTTTCTGTGATAGTAACACTATAAGAAACATATAGGAACGTGTTGTTTTTAAACCGATAAAAAGGTAAATGACAAATTTACAAACAATAATCTCTCCAACAATGTTGTGAAAATATAGGACAGAGATGAGCAGATAACTCGGAAAGCACTAAAATTATAACAATTTAAATAGCATATGATAGAATAACAATGTATTTTAAAGTACATTGTACAAATATGTCACAAAGTACATGTTCAATAAACATTAACTGAATCTGATTTTGATTTTGAATTCAGAAAGAACTATCTTATTATAAAAGAAACAATTTTCTTTTCACTAAAGAGTACTGCATTCTTAATTACTAAATAATTAATCACTAAATAATCAAAAAGAGTACTGCATTCCTATGCTACATGCCAGGAACAGCCTTAAGCACTAAGTAATGTCCCCCAGTCACTGGGATTTTTCAATTCATTTAGTTATGCTGCCATTTATTTCTCTCACATCCATCAAACCACTCATTTTTTTCCTGCTTGAATCATAAATCAAGTAAGATTCAGCCACATCTACTCTCCTTAGTGATTCAGAATAACAATGATTTATGAAAATTTAATTTATTAGATACCCAGTTTCTCGACGGAAGGAACAAAAATTTATAAGCACTTCATCTGCCTATTACATTTCTGAATATTAAGTAGGGAAAAAGACAGCATAAATTATACTTTGAAACATAGTAGTTAAAAAATAAACAAGGATAGGCAGAAATTGTATAAACAATTTATGGTAGAATAGAGAGTCTTAAAGCAGAACATGGGATGAATCTGTCTTCTGAAAGCCTTCTAATTCTTCATTGTGATATATGGTAAGTTTTGCCTACCTTCACTTTTATGAAATTGTTTTACCAAATTTTGTGGATTGTAGAGACATGACTGAGTCTCTATATCCTTAAACAATCCTGATAGGCTGAATTTTTTAGTTAACATAGTCCAGGCCCCCTCAACAACAAAACAAAACAAAACACTGGGAAATCCCAAATAATCAAATATACCTTTTGATCTCCATCAGAGGAAATGAAACACCTTTCTTCTTCCCGCTTTGTACCCCTGTTTACCTCATCTCCCTTCTGCAATCCCTACATTAGATTATCTTGTGTCATGAACTAAGCCATAGCCAGATGATTATAATTAAATAATCTTATTGCAGTAACTAAGAAAGCATTCTGCTTCTTTCATCTTTAGAGATGCCTAAATGAAAAAAGGTGGCAGACTCACTCAGCACAATGTCATTTAATTTGCAATGTTCTGTATTCATTTCTTATTACACCATATGATATCCTTGTGTCACCCAGTAAGACTACTAAAGA